>NC_000006.12:160373820-160525335 GCF_000001405.40 Homo sapiens | reverse complement strand
AATTGAAAAGTAATGAAAAAAATTAAAAGCTATTATGTGTCAAATGACATTATCAAGAAAGTGAAAAGCAACCTACTGATGAAGCAAACCTATTGACAAAGGCCTGGTGTCCAGAATATATTAAGATCTCTAGGCTGGGAGCAGTGGCTCACACCTGTAATCCCAGCACTTGGGGAGGCCAAGGTGGGAGGATCACTTGAGCCTGGGAGTTCGACACTGCAGTGAGCTATGATTGGGCCACTGCCCTCCAGGCTGCGTGACAGAGTGAGACTGCCATCTCTTAACCCACTTCTTATTTAGAAAAAGAAAATATGTAGCTTGCTGCCTGCATAGTATTCTTGGGGCAAATGGGAAATGAGTTAAAAAAAAAAAAAAGAACTCTTACAACTCAACAATAAAAAGAAAAACAAGAACGTGAATAGACATTTTTTCCAAAAAAGATATACAAATAGGCAATAAGTACATGAAATGATGGTCAACATCATTAGTCATTAAGAAAATGCCAATAAAATCACAATGAAATAAGACTTCATATCCATTAAAATGTCTATAATTTAAAAAATGGAAAATAACAAGCATTTGTGAGGATGTGGAGAAATTAGAATCCTGTATATTGCTGGTGGGAATGTACAGGGAAAATGGTTTGGCCACTGTGGAAAACAATTTGACAGTTCCTTAAAATGCTAAACATAGAATTACCATGTGATCTAACAATTTTACTCTTAGGTGTATATATACAAGAATTGAAAACAAGTGCCCAAACAGATACCTTGCATGAGAATGTTCATAGCAGCACTGTTACAACAGCCACACCCAAATGTCAATCAATAGATGAGGGGATAAACAAATTGTGGTTTATACAGCTACAAAAAGGAATGAAGTACTGGTATCCGCTACATGGCTGAAACTTGAAAGCAAGGGCTGGGATGGGGTCATGGAAAGTACCAGCTTATTGGGTACTGCATTGTGCTTTGGGGTCATGAAAATGTTTTGGAACTGGATGGAGGTGGTGGTTGCCAATGTGAACATACTAAATACAACGCATTGTTCACTATAAGACTGCTACTTTTCTTATGAGAATTTCACTTCAATTAAAAAATACCTTCCATGTATCCTTTCTAAGGATGATACTAGAATATTTGCTTTGGCAAAATGAGGAAGTAACTTTTTTTAAAAAGGAAGATGTGGGATCCATGAAACGGGATCAAATATCAGAGAGGAAAGGGGGTCTTCTGGATGACAGTCCATGGAGATCCCACAACTGCACAGCAGGCCGGCTGTGCACCCAGGCCACACCAGAGCAGAGCCGGTGGTTCCCGAGGAGCTCTCTGGAAGAAAAACGCTAGATGGCCTGATTGGTTTGGGGGCATATTGAAAAGGTATATAACTGAGAATTTGGAGTGGAATTAGGAAACAGACATAAAAGCTTACAGAAAAGAAAATAATGAATTCTAGGGAGAAATATAAAAGGATACTACAGGCCTCAGTTACATAAACACTGAATATTTACTTAACCAAAATTACAATATAATTACATAATTATTTTAGGTACATATGGCAAAAGGATGTGTGGGTGTATGTAGTATGTACGGTGTGTGAAGTGTATGTGTGTGGTATGTGGACGGTATGTGTATGCTGTGTATGCCAATAAAATCACAATGAAATAAGACTTCATATCCATTAAAATGTCTATAATTTAAATGTCTATAATTTTAAAAATGGAAAACACTTCTCATATGGCAGGAGCAGGAGCAAGGGTGGGGGAGGTACCACACACACTTAAACAACCAGATCTCCTGAGAACTCACTATCAGGAGAACAGCACCTGGAGAAGGTGCTAAACCATTCATGAGTTACTGCCCTATGAGCCAATCACCTCCCATCAGACCCCGCCTCCACACTAAGGATTACAATTTGACTTGAAATTTGGGCATGAACACAGATCGAAACCATATCAATAGGTAATGACTAAAACTGAAAAAAGAAGTACCACAGTCAGAAAGTTATTTAGAGAGCTGAAGGTAAATGCCAATAGGATCAGTTGAAAGAATTGGAGGTGGCCGGGTGCGGTGGCTCAGGCCTGTAATCCCAGCACTTTGGGAGGCGGAGGTGGGTGGATCGCCCTGAGGTCAGGAGTTTGAGACCAGCCTGGCCAACATGGTGAAACCCAGTCTCTACTAAAAATACAAAAATTAGCCAGGCCTGGTGGTGGACGCCGTAGTCCCAGCTACTCAAGAGGCTGAGGCAGGAGAATCGCTTGAACCAGGGAGGTGAAGGTTGCAGTGAACCGAGATCGTGCCACTGCACTCCAGCCTGGGTGACAGAGCAAAACTCCATCTCAAAAATAAATGAAATAAAGAATTGGAAGTGTTTGCCTCTGGAGAGAAGGAAACGCAGTAATTCTGTAAAAACAGAACTTTTTACTTTTTTTCTTTTTTTTTTTTTTTTTGAGACAGAGTCTCCTTCTGTCACCCAGGCTGGAGTGCAGTGGTGCAGTCTTGGCTCACCGCAACCTCTGCCTCTTGGGTTCAAGCAATTCCCGTGCCTCAGCCTCCCAAGTAGCTAGGATTACAGATATGGGCTGCTATATCCAGCTAATTTTTTTTTATTTTTATTAGAGATGAAGTTTCACCATGTTGGCCAATCTGGTCTCAAGCTCCTGGACTCATGATCCTCCTGCCTCGGCCTTCCAAATTGCTATGATTACAGGTGTGAGCCACCATGCCTGGACAGAACTTTTTGACTCTTTAAACTATGTGCATATATAAAGCTGATTTAAAAAAAACCAAGTAAAATAATTTTAAAATGTTCCAAAACAGATTGGATGGGTACACACTTCATCATGAGTGGTTGAGGGAGACTGGGTTAGAGATGAGGAAATTCCAGGGACTGGGGAAAAGTTAAAATGACAAACTGTTCACAATTGTTAACTGCAGGTTGTGGGAAAGTTGGTAAGTTGCTACAGTGTTTGTTCCCTCTGTAGGTTTGCATATATTTAACATTTCTTAAATTAGCATAATAATGAACTGTGTAATCAGCTGTAGAGTTGAGGGTGTGGAGCTGGCACAGGACAGCTGAGCTACTGGTTTAAAATAAATGACATTTAAAAAAATGGCTATTTGTAGAATTAACAGATATAAGACACCCTGATCAAGGGATGATAAGAAAGGACTCCAGGGCTCTGTCTCAGCTGTCTTGGCAACACCTGGAAGACATGGGCCTCTGCAAGGTCTCATACTTTCAGGAGGTGTTGATGAAGGATATGGACAGATCTGAAGCTCTGGGCACTGCATGGTCTGAGAAGAGAAGCTCCGGAAACGCGGGAGCTGAGTGCAGATGCAGAAGGGCTGTCATCCAGCAGAGGGGTAGGTGACAACTGGCCTAGCGAGTGACCCTTATCATGGCTACATTTGTTGATCACTTTCTTTGTATGAGGCACTGCTGTGATTGCATTAAATTTCCACTTACCTAAATCCAACGTTGTGCACTTGTGAATTTCTACTCTTACAAAAAACACAACGGCAACAACCTCAAACCAGTAATCTAGTCAAAAAAGCAATTCCCAAGGCATGACATTCAGATTCATCAGCACTCACAGAGACTACAGTGATTGCTGATAACGCCAACTTAATACCTGGCCAACAGCATGGATCCTGACCTCCACTTTTCTTGTGTGTTTACAGAACCACAAAAAGGTGCAGTGTTTTCATTTTTGTTGCATGTTTCACAGGTCTATATAACCCACTTTTAAAGTAAAAAAGGGTCTTAGTGATGAACAATAAAAGTATAAATTCAATACACCATATACCTTTGTCATATGACTATATATAGACTTTTACATACCCTTGCATATGGATCATATGGATCAAATTAGTAGATGAAATAGAATTTTTAAAAAATGAAATATTTTCTGGTTATCAAGCATATCAGCTACCTTTAAAATATTAATTTTACTGTACTTATATTAATTATTGAAGCTTAAACTTCAGAATAGTGGAGGATAAAAGTAAAATATAGCAAAAAGATTTCTCCTTTATTACTTCTTTAAATCAGAGAAAAGACATTTAAAGAGAAAATAGGAGTATCTTCCCCACTCCACATAACTTATGAAGTAAGCAGCTAATTGATCATATCATAAAGAGGCACCAGATAAAATCTGTGTGGCTCAAAATATTAGGAGCACTGCTTCTGTGAAATCAGTTAAAGTAAACGCCCATATTGGTCATGCATTGATACACATGCTTATTTTCCTAAGTGAATTCTCCACAATTCTGAAAATCAGTGAAAAGATCATCTCATGTTAGTTCCACACAAAACCAAGCAGTGCATGTGACTGTCCATGTTTCCAGGCATACACATCCCGTTTCACCAGGATCAAAGTGCCCAATGGGAAGCAACTTCTTGCCTTTTAAACCAGATTCAGTAAACAAAAATTATTTTGCATAGCTGACACAGGAGCACATCGATTGCATGAAAAAGGTCACTCTGTGGAAGGAAGCTTACAACGTCAAATTGAGAGGTGACAAAGTGCTAGCAGCCCTCGCTCACTCTGGGCGCCTCCTCGGCCTTGGCGTCCACTCTGGCCATGCTCTAAGAGCCCTTCAGCCCACCACTGCGCTGTGGCGGGCCCCTCTCTGGGCTGGCCGAGGCGGAAGCCGGCTCCCTCTGCTTGCGGGGAGGTGTGGAGCGAGAGGCGCGGGCGGGAGCCGGTGCTGCGAGCGGCGCTCGCGGGCCAGCGCGAGTTCCGGGTGTGCGCGGACTCAGCGGGCCCCGCACTCAAAGCAGCCAGCAGGCGCCGCAGGCTCCTGGCAGTGAGGGGCTTAGCACCCGGGCCAGCAGCTGCAGAGGGTGCGCCGGGTCCCCCCAGCACTGCCGGCCCGCCCGCACCGCGCTCGAATTCTCGCTGGGCCTCAGCCGCCTCCCCGCAGGGATAGGGCTCGGAACCTGAAGCCCGCCATGCCCGAGTCCCCCCTCCCCCCGCATCCCCTCCCGGTGCCCCGCCTCGTGCCGCTGTCGCACGTCCATTGCCGGCATTGCCGGCGCGCCTCGCGCGGTCCGGAAGCATCAGTGTCCTCCCGGAGGCCTAGGGCCCGCTGCGGCTCCCACCCTGGCGACCCTGGATTGCTCTCCTCACTCTCAGCCTCACGCCCCACTTCTTCCACCCCAAATTTTGCGGCCTCAGAAGGACACGAACTATCTGCTGGCTGAAGTCGCTTGGGACAAAACCCGCCACAGGATTTTGGGAGCCGGGCACTCCCTCCCACGGGAGGCGAGGGCAAAATGTGGGGTCTGCTGCCCCCTGCCGGCCTGGCTGATGTTTGCTTCTGTTTCCACGCTGCCCAGCAATGTTCCAGGTGGAGCTTGTGGAAGGTAAGGCTGAGAATAAATGCTGTTTGCAAATTCCAGAAAAGAAAAAAAGTAGCTCTTCTCTTTAGCAATAGGTTTTCCCCACCCAGCCAGAACTTCTGTAGGTTGTATTTAACTCTTAAGTGCGTCAGAGCTATTTCCTGCCGTCGCTGGCATTACCCTACCCTAGGCAGGGAAGTTTCAGGACAATGTCTGAAAACTCCAGGCTCTTGAATGAAGCAACCTTTCACATTAAGTATGTAGCGTAATCTACCAGGTCTCCTATGATTTACCATTCATGCAAAAGGAGCAAGTTTCTGCAAAACAGGGCTTTCAAAGAGCCTTTTTCACGAGAAGAAAATGTTGGAAGAGCTGATTTGTAGCGTATTTGTTGTTTTTACATCTAAAACTAATCGCATTAAAGGTAGTTAGGGGTATGAATGATAAATAATGAAAAGGATCAAAATAGGAATGTTTCATTCACTTTAACCTGGCCCATGCGGTGCACTTCAGGCCCTAGACTCTGGTTTGAACTCTGCCATTTCTGCCATTCCTTGGCTTTGTTTGCTTCATTGCTTGGACTTTCAGACTGATTAGAGTTCTGTGAATACAGTAGGTGCTCAATAAATCCTTATTCTGGGTAGTGCCATTGATGCCTGTGGCAGTGACTGCAGATTGGAGGGCTCCTGCAGCAACGAGGCGTGGGGCTGGAGGGCCTGGCTCTGGCATCCAACCCTGCTCCATCTGCCACACTAGCTGTGTGACTTTGGGGGAAGTTATGAACCTCTGCTGAACTCTCTATGGGTAAAATAAGAGTGGTAGTAATAGCGCCTCCCTCATAGGGTTGGAGTGAGGAGTAAGTGAACTAACCTGTGTAAAGGATCTCGTGGTGCCTCATATATGTGTAAACTATTCATCGGACAGGGGGCTAGTATTAGAATATACAAGGATCTCGAACATCTCAACAGCAAAAAACCAACCCAATTAAAAAAAAAGGGCAAATGATCTGAACAGACATTTCTTGAAAGAAGACATACAAATGGCCAACAAATGTATGAAAATGTGCTCAACATCACTAATCAGGAAAATGCAAATCTAAACCACAACGAGCTATTGTCTCACCCCAGTTAGTAGGGCTATTATCAAAAAGACAAAAAATAAAAAATGCTGGTGAGGATGCAGGAAAAAAAGGGAATTTTAAAAACAGTTGGTGGGAATTTAAACTAGTGCAATTGGTCTGAAGAACAGTATGGAGGTTCCTCAAAAAAATACAGATAGAAGTACCATATAATCCAGCAATCTCACTGCTAAGCATTTATCCAAAGCAATGGAAATCGTTAAATATCAAAGAGACCTCTGCATCCTCAGGTTTACTGCAGCACTATTCATAATAACAAAGACATGTAATCAATCTAGTTGTCTGACTACACATGAATGGATAAAGAAAATGTGATATATACATACCATAAAATACTATTCAACCATTAAAAAAATGAGATCCTATCTTTTGCAGCAACATGGATGAAACTAAAGGAAGGTTTGTTAAGTAAGCCAGGAACAGAAAGGTAAACAGTGAGTGTTCTCACTCAGTGTTACAGTAGGTAGCTAGTAAGGTATGAGCAGGGCAGAACAGTGCCTTCCCCTACCACCGCCCCAAACACACACCTGGAGTGTTGTCAACCATTAGGTGATGGTCAGGCAGTTTTTAACTGTCTTTGTAAAGTAATAATTGGTCACAGCTGGCACCAGTGAAAAGCCATCTCCCAATAGATAGAAAACACCTGAAACAGCTTCTGGATAAGCTCTCAGGAGTTGGGTGAGTGGGGAGAAGGGATACAAGACCCCGGAAGCATGCCAGTATATAAAACCCCAAGTCAAAAGGTCAAAGCACACACTTGACTTTCTTTTTAAAAAATTTTTTTAAAAATTATTATACTTTAAGTTCTGGGATACATGTGCAGAACATGCAGGTTTGTTACATAGATATCCATGTGCCATGGTGGTTTGCTGCACCCATCAACTTGTCATCTACATTAGGTATTTCTCCTAATACTATCCCTCCCCTAACCCCTCAACCCCTGACAGGCCCCAGTGTGTGATGTTCCCTTCCCCATGTCCATGTGTTCTCATTGTTCAACTCACGCTTATCAGTGAAAATATGCAGTGTTTGGTTTTCTGTTCTTACGTTAGTTGGCTGAGAATGATGGTTTCCAGCTTCAGCCATGTCCCTGCAAAGGACGTGAACTCAACCTTTTTATGGCTGCATAGTATTCCATGGTGTATATGTGCCATGTTTTCTTTATCCAGTCTATCACTGATGGGCATTTGGGTTGGTTCCAAGTATTTGCTATTGTGAACAGTGCCGCAGTAAACATACGTGTGTGTGTGTCTTTATAGTAGAATGATTTATAATCCTTTGGGTATATACCTAGCAATGGAATTGCTGGGTCAAATGGTATTTCTAGTTCTAGATCCTTGAGGAATTGCCACACTGTCTTCCACAGTGGTTGAACTAATTGATACTCCCACCAACAGTGTAAAAGTGTTCCTATTTCTCCACATCCTCTTCAACATCTGTTGTTTCCTGACCTCCTAAGGATCACCATTCTAACTGGCATGAGATGGTATCTCATTGTGATTTTCATTTGCATTTCTCTAATGACCAGTGATGATGAGCTTTTTTTCATATGTGTATTGGCTGCATAAATGTCTTCTTTTGAGAAGTGTCTGTTCTTACTGCCCACTTTTTGATGGAGTTGTTTTTTTCTTGTAAATTTGTTCAAGTTCTTTGTAGATTCTGGATATTAGCCCTTTGTCAGATGGATAGATTGCAAAAATTTTCTCCCATTATGTAGGTTGCCTATTCACTCTGATGATAGTTTCTTTTGCTGTGCAGAAGCTCTTTAGCTTAATTAGATCCCATTTGTCAATTTTGGCTTTTGTTGCTATTGCTTTTGGTGTTTTAGTCATAAAGTCTTCTCCCATGCCTATGTCCTGAATCATATTGTCTAGGTTTTCTTCTAGGGTTTTTATGTTTTTATGTTTTATGTTTAAGTCGTTAATCCATCTTGAGTTAATTTTTGTATAAGGTGTAAGGAAGGGGTCCAGTTTCCGTTTTCTGCATATGGCTAACTAGTTTTCCCAACACCATTTATTAAATAGGGAATCCTTTCTCCATTGCTTGTTTTTGTCACGTTTGTCAAAGATCAGATGGTTGTAGATGTTTGGTGTTATTTCTGAGGGCTCTGTTCTGTTTCATTGGTGTATATATCTGTTTTGGTACCAGTACCATGCTGTTTTGGTTACTGTAGCCTTGTGGTATAGTTTGAAGTTGGGAAGCGTGATGCCTCCAGCTTTGTTTTTTTTTTGTTTTTGTTTTTGTTTTTTTTTTTTGCTTAGGCTTGTCTTGGCTATATGGGATCTTTTTGGTTCCATATGAAATTTAAAGTAGTTTTTTCTAATTATGTGAAGAAAGTCAATGGTAGCTTGATGGGGATAACATTGACTCTATAAATTACTTTGGGGAATATGGCCATTTTCATGATTCTTCCTGTCTATGAGCATGGAATTTTTTTCCATTTGTTTGTGTCCTCTCTTATTTCCTTGAGCAGTGGTTTGTAGTTCTCCTTGAAGAGGTCTTTAACATCCCTTTAAGTTGTATTCCTAGGTATTTTATTCTCTTTGTAGCAATTGTGAATGGGAATTCACTCATGATTTGGCTCTTTGTCTATTATTGGTGTATAGGAATGCTTGTGATTTTTGCACATTGATTTTGTATCCTGAGACTTTGCTGAAGTTTCTTATCAGCTTAAGGAGATTTTGGGCTGAGATGATGGGGTTTTCTAAATATACAATCATGTCATCTGCAAACAGAGACAATTTGACTTCATCTTTTTCCATCTGATACCCTTTATTTCTTTCTCTTGCCTGATTGCCCTGGCCAGAATTTCTAATACTATGTTGAATAGGAGTGGTGAGAGAAGGCATCCTTGTCTTGTGCTGGTTTTCAAAGGGAATGCTTCCAGCTTTTGCACATTCAGTATGATATTGGCTATGGGTTTGTCATAAATAGCTCTTATTATTTTGAGGTATGTTCCATCAATACCAAGATTATTGAGAGTTTTTAGCATGAAGGGCTATTTAATTTTATTGAAGGCCTTTTCTATATCTATTGAGATAATCATGTGGTTTTTGTCATTGGTTCTGTTTATGTGATGAATTACCCTTATTGATTTGTGTATGTTGAACCAGCCTTGCATCCCAGAGATGAAGCCGACTTGATCATGGTAGATAAGCTTTTTGATGTGCTACTGGATTAGGTTTGCCAGTATTTTATTGAGGATTTTTGCATAGATGTTCATCAGGGATATTGGCCTGAAATTTTCTTTATGTTGCGTCTCTGCCAGGTTTTGGTATCAGAATGATGCTGGCCTCATAAAATGAGTTAGGGAGGAGTCCCTCTTTTTCTATTGTTTGGAAGAATTTCAGGAGGAATGGTACCAGCTTCTCTTTGTACCTCTGATATAATTCGTCTCTGAATCCATCTGGTCCTGGACTTTTTTTGGTTACTATTAATTGCTGCCTCAATTTCAGAACTTGTTATTCAAGTTCAGGGAATTCAGCTTCTTCATGGTTTAGACTTGGGAGGGTGTATCTGTCTAGGAATTTATCTATTTCTTCTAGATTTTCTAGATTATTTGCATAGAGGTGTTGATAGTATTCCTTGATGGTAGTTTGTATTTCTGTGGGATCAGTGGTGATATCTCCTTTATCATTCTTTATTGTGTCTATCGGATTCTTTTCTCTTTTCTTCATTAGTTTGGCTACTGGTCTATCTATTTTGTTGATCTTTTCAAAAAAACAACTCCTGGATTCATTGATTTTTTGAAGGGTTTTTCCTGTCTCTATCTTCTTCAGTTCTGCTCTGATCTTAGTTATTTCTTATCTTCTGCTAGCTTTTGTATTTGTTTGCTCTTGCTTCTCTAGTTCTTTTAATTGTGATGTTAGGGTGTCGACTTTAGATCCTCTTTCTTTATCTTGTGGGCATTTAGTGCTATAAATTTCCCCCTAAACACTGCTTTAGCTGTGTCCCAGAGATTCTGGTATGTTGTGTCTTTGTTCTCATTGGTTTCAAAGAACTTATTTATTTCTCCCTTAATTGCAATATTTACGCAGTAGTCTTTCAGGAGCAGGTTGTTCAGTTTCTATGTAGTTGTGCTGTTTTGAGTGAATTTCTTAATCCTGAGTTCTAATTTGATTGCACTGTGGTCTGAGAGACTGTTATGATTTCCATTCTTTTGCATTTGCTGAGGAGTGTTTTACTTCCAATTATCTGGTCTATTTCAGAATAAGTGCAATGTGGTGCTGAGAAGAATATATATTCTGTTGATTTGGGGTGGAGAGTTCTGTAGATGTCTATTAGGTTGGCTTGGTCCAGAGCTGAGTTCAAGTCCTGAATATCCTTGTTAATTTTCTGTCTCATTGATCTGTCTAATATTGACAGTGGGGTATTAAAGTCTCCCACTATTTTTTGTGTGGGAGTCTAAGTCTCTTTGTAGGTCTCCATGAACTTGCTTTATGAACCTGGGAGCTACTGTATTGCATATATATTTAGGATAGTCAGCTCTTCTTGTTGCATTGATCCCTTTACCATCATGTAATGCCTTTCTTTGTCTCTTTTGATCTTTGTTCATTTAAAGTTTGTTTTATCAGAGACTAGGATTGCAACCCACCCACCCCCCTTTTTTTTTTCTTTTTTGCTTTCTATTTGCTTGGTAAATATTCCTCCATCCCTTTATTTTGAGCCTACATGCGTCTTTGCACATGAGATGGGTCTCCTGAATACAACACACAATGGGTCTTGACTCTTTATCCACTTTGACAGTCTGTGTCTTTTAATTGGGGCATTTGGAACTTCCCAGGGGCATTGTTTACACTGTGAAGGGAAAACCGCCTACTCAAGGCTTAGTAATAGTGGACACCCCTCCCCCAACCAAGCTGGAGCATCCCAGTTCAACCTCAGACTGCTGTGCTGGCAGCAAGAATTCCAAGCCAGTAGATCTTAGGGTGCTTGGCTCCATGGGGGTGGGATCCACTGAGCTGGACCCCTCGGCTCCCTGGCTTCAGTCCCCTTTCCAGGGGAGTGAACAGTTCTGTCTCACTGGCATCCCAGGCACCACTGGGGTATGGAAAAAAAGCTCCTGCAGCTAGCTCAGTGTCTACCCAAATGGCTATCCAGTTTTGTGCTTGAAACCCAGGGCCCTGGTGGCATAGGCACCCAAGGGAATCTCCTGGTCTGTGGGTTGTGAAGACCATGGGAAATGCATAGTATCTGTGCCAGAGTGCACCATTCCTCACGGCACAGACCCTCATGGATTCCCTTGGCTAGGGGAGGGAGTTCTCTGACCCCTTGCACTTCCCAGGTGAGGCGATGTCCCAGCCTGCTTCTGCTAACCCTCCATGAGGTGCACCCACTGTCTAACTAGTCACAGTGAGATAAGCCGGGTACCTCAGTTGGAAATGAAGAAATCATCTGCCTTCTGTGTTGATCTCGCTGGGAGCTGCAGAATGGAGCTGTTCCTATTCGGCCATTTTGCCAGCCACCCCACTTGCCTTTCGTCACCTGCCTGGCCCTCTTCCGAGTGTGCTTTTCTTCCTGTCATTCCTGCTCTAAAGCTTTTAAATAAACTGTCACTCCTGCTGTCCTTTTGCCTCCTGCCTCTTAAAATCTTTCGTCCAAGGAAGCAACAATTGAGGTTGCTGCAGACCCATATGGATTTGCTGCCAGTAACAATATGTGGCAGCTAAAAAAGCTTATATCAAAGAAGTAAAAAGTAATATGGAGGATGTTCCAGGTCTGGAAGAGTGGGGAAAGGGGGAATAGGGAGAGATTTGTTAAAGGCTACAAAATTACACCTAGGTATCAGAAATATGTTCTAGTGTTTTATGCCGCTGTAGGATGAGTCTAGCTAACAATATTATATTGTATAGTTTCAAGCAACTAGAAAGAGGATATTGAGTGTTTCCAAAACAAATGAGTGATAAATGTTTGAGGTGATTGATTGATATGCTAACTACCCCTCTTTGATCTCTGTACATCATTTGTATTGAAATATATCTGTGTACTCCATGAACATATGCAATTATTATTTATCAATAAAACTTAGTAAAATCTTGATTTCACAGAATTAGACAGTAGAATAGTGGTTACCAGAGGGTGAGCAGGGTAGTCAGGGAGAGGAGAATGAAAAGGGGTTGGTCAATGTGTACAAATTTCTAGTTAGATAGAAAGAATAAGTTCTGGTGTTCTATTATACACTAGGGTGACTATAGTTCATGATTATGTGTTGTGTATTTCAAGATAACTAGAAGAGAGAATTTTGAATCTTCTCACCACAAAGAAAAAATGTTTGAAGTGAGGAGTATGCTAATCACCCTGATTTGATCCTTATACAGTGTATCCATGCATTGAAACATCACACTGTACCCCATAAATACGTACAATTACTATGTGTCAATTATAAATTAAAACTTCAAAAGTGAGTACAATGCCAAGCATATAGCCATTAATCAATAAATTATAGCCATTACTATTATTATTATTCTTTCCTCCCAGTAGTAAATTGTAGTGCAGTGGTTGAAAGTAATCACTTGAGGCCAGGCATGGTGGCTCATGCCTATAATCCCCACAGTTTGGGAGGCTGAGGTGGGGGGATTGCTTGAAATCAGGAGTTTGAGACCAGCTTGGCCAAGATGGTGAAACCCCATCTCTACTAAAAATACAAAAAAATAGCTAGGCGTGGTGGTCCACACCTGTAATCCCACCTACTTGGAAAGCCGAAGCGGGAGAATCGCTTGAAACCCATAGATGAAGGTTGCAGTGAGCTGAGATTGTGCCACTATATTCCACAGTGGGAGACAGAGTGAGACTGACTCAAAAAAAAAAAAGTAATCATTTGAGATATTTGCATTGGAACCTGGCTTTCCCAATTTCCTTTGATATAACTATGGGCAAGCAAATTTCAATGTCCTGATCTATAAAATGGTAATGGGAATAACAGAGAAAAATCTGGTGATTATAGCATGGTATGGGTAATTCATAGTGTTGTTTGTATCTGGCACAGATAGACAAACCTACAATAAATGGTAGCTAGTAGTGTAGTAAAGATTCTAAAAGAGCATGTTTAGACTAACCTCTAATGCTTAGTTGTCCCATGAGGTAATAATGTCTTTATCTAATTTCACCTTTCCATTTATTAGCTTATCAGAAAGTTGAGTCCTAGAGGATTGCCAGAGTGTCAGAACTCAATGACGCCTTCCCATGTGAAGGTCAAGAACTATCTGCAGCCCTCGGTGGGACCCTTGATTGCTGACATCAGTCCTTCTACTTAAAGCAGTTCTTGTGCAATCTTTGATGCAAAGTAATTTCAAAAGAATTGCTTCAAGGATGTTCAATGGTGATTATTATTGATTGTGGCCTGGGTAGGTGGAAAAGCTACTCAGAGACCGAATACAGCAACCCAAGCTCCCATAGTTATTCATTATTGGAACTTGGTTTTCAAACTAGGTCAAATGAAACTGAACAACGTTTGGAATAATCCGTCACTGGTTGTGGACAGGGAAGGGTTCTAGAAGGGACTGGGCTGGAGAACCCTGCAGGCTTACAGTATGTTATGGGTTGGTGCTCCCCTACCTACAGATTCTTTTAAAAAACTGTCCCTACAACTTACTGAACTGGAATGTCAGCTCAGTGGAGTCCTTCTTCTCTGGCCACTCTTAGGGGACTGAGGGATGGTTGGATTCAGAAAAGGGCTTCTAAAAATTCAGGTAATGTTTGAACTCTGCTGAGCCAGTGGCATGGGTCTCTGAGAGAATCATTAACTTAATTTGACTATCTGGTTTGTGGATGCGTTTACTCTCATGTAAGTCAACAACATCCTGGGATTGGGACACACTTTCTGGGCACTGCTGGCCAGTCCCAAAATGGAACATAAGGAAGTGGTTCTTCTACTTCTGTTATTTCTGAAATCAGGTAAGACATAGTTTTTTTTGTGTAATAATTATTTTTTCTCCCACAATGTAGTAAAAATACATATGCCATATCTTTATGTGCAATTCATTTAATTTAATTTTTGATTCATAAAATCGCCAGTTCAAAATCTTGTATAAGATTGAGGAATTCTTAAAAAACTAAGTTTAATTTCCACATGAAGACTGTCAGGGTGCTGGAATGAATGGGCATAATGGGTGGTGTTTCTAATCTAAAAGAGTGTGCCTACATCATGGCCAGTCTAGTTGAAAGAAAAAAATAGGCAATGTAGCTAACTACGCAAAGGATGGTCAAGCTCTTCACCTGGTTCTCAGTTTCATTAATTTATATCATCTCTGTTCAGGTGCCATGCTCCCCTCACTTTCAAGTTGAAACAATGAAATATCTCTTTGAATATATTCTGCTCCTTGACCCATTCATGGAGTGGGACTCAGCATTTCTCTCCTTGTTATGGCCTGAATAAGGCTTTCCATAGGTATACGTTTGCTTCTTATCCCTGGAGAAATTACACACATCCATTTGCCAGATGCTGTATGCAGATAGTGACTCAGCAAATACTCACTCAGTGCTTGGGTTAGGTCCTCACATTTGTATACGTACATACATATCTGTGTGTACATGTCAGTGTGAGTGTGATTTCTTTACAGACAGTAGCTTATTGAGCTCATGGTGTAGATAGCATAGCATATTCATCCCAATTTTATAAACAAGGAAATCTAGACTTAGGAAAATGATGTTATTTGCCCAGAGACCAAATTCCCAAATCAAGGAAATAAAGGAACCAGGATTTAAGCCAGATTTCCAAGAAAAAAAATCTAGGGCTCTTCTCACTTTTTCAACTTTGTTCTAACCTTTGAAAAACTAATCTAAACACATCCCAGTGTAACGGAAGAGCAGGTTAGTTATTTGCCACTTGCAGAATCTAATTAAGAAGAGAGAAGTCTGGTGTAAAGAAAGTGATGTACTTCCAACGCTAGCTTAGGGGAAGAAATACAAGAGTCCTGTTTTACCACTTCACTTTTGGAGCAGAAAGTGGTACTTTTAAAAGGCAGGGGAGGAAGCAAGCAATGGTTCAGGGGTCCATGCTAGCTTTGGCACCTTATCCACCAGCTGGTGCCTGCTGGTGCCCTTGTGAACAGGATGTTGTCGCTTGAGACAAGTCTCTGGAGGGTGAGAGTTTTGTAGTGGACATTCTTTGGTTTATAAATCAACTGTGAACTCAGGAGTTCCATCTTGAAGCACATAGTTAGATGACTTGCCCTGTAGGGAGATTCAGATGAAGGGGAGGTAAAAAGCCATATTTGCAATTCTAAAGGGCCAAGTATAAAGTGGGGAGCTGGGGAGACAAAAAACACACAAAAAATTAAACCATCTCTTAGAAAAATGGGGGTCCTTGGTCTCACTAATAGGTTTTTCTTAAACAGCTTTATTGAGGTCTAATTCATCCATTTACGGCATGCAAGCCAATGGATGTAAATATATTCAGAGTTGTGCAGCCATCATCACAATAAATGTTAAAATATTTTCATACACCAAAAAGGGACTCCACTCTCCTTAGCTGTTGCCCTGCGTCTGCAGCTTCTGGCAACCACAAATGTATTTTTCTGCTTTTATAGATTTGCCTATTTTGGACACTTCATATAAATGGAACCATACGTTTTCATGGTAGTTCTTCATATAAGCAATGTGTAGATGCTTTCAATTTAATATATAAATTACCAGATAAAATTTTACAAATTGACTTTAGAGTAAAATACATTTGAACTTAGTGGAAGCCATTCAACAAAGTATCAAAGAAAATACAAAGCAGGAGAAGATTAAGCAAAGAGGTTTTGGGGGGAAATTGGTGTCTACGTGTGTGTGTGTGTGTGTGTGTGTGTGTAGATGGGGGCAGGGGGATGAGTATTATATTTCAGCCCATGAAAACTGGGACATAGATCACTATGAACTTACTCAGTGGGCTACACCCAAAGGCTAAATCAAACTTCTCTGCCATAGGATTAACATACGTTTTAACCAACCTGGGGGGCACATTCTCTTATAAGCTCTTTTGGAGAGGAATGCTTTCTGTAGATGTGTCATCTTTCCAGTGTACTTCAGTGCCCGAGGAGAGCAAGTTTATTTTACAGCCATACTCAGTGAGAAGTGGAGAATCATCTTCCATTTCACAAATTACTATTTCTTTTACATATGCAAATATGCATACACATTCACATACCACAGTGAGGAAGAAATTCTCACACCATTAATAAAATCCAGTTACTTCACTAGCAATATACAACTACATTTGCCTATAAAAGTATTTTTTCTATTAAAAGATGTGTTTAATGTTTCTTCACCAGCAAATAAACCCTATTAAAACCCCTTGCCATATGAGGTGAATCAAAGAAACAAAAGCCTTGGGGAAAAATTATCAAATTAAAAAGACAAAAAATTGATTCTGTTTTGGGATATTTCCTAGCGACATGAGCTGGAGAGGGGATCTCAGCAGTGATGCGCTATGAAGCATAATAACACGACACAGTTATGGGTTAACTTGGTTAAAGGGGAAAATAAATGGAAGTTTCCTCTTTTTTTTTTTTTTTTTTTTTTGAGACGGAGTCTTGCTCTGTCGCCCAGGCTGGAGGGCAGTGGCGCCATCTCGGCTCACTGCAAGCTCCGCCTCCCGGGTTCACGCCATTCTCCTGCCTCAGCCTCCCGAGTAGCTGGGACTACAGGCGCCCGCTACCACGCCCGGCTAATTTTTTGTATTTTTAATAGAGACGGGGTTTCACCGTGTTAGCCAGGATGGTCTCGATCTCCTGACCTCGTGATCCGCCCGCCTCGGCCTCCCAAAGTGCTGGGATTACAGGCGTGAGCCACCGCGCCCGGCCAGGAAGTTTCCTCTTTTTGAATATCAATTGTAGTCTGCTCTCCTACATTTCAAAAACACTCTTCAGAAAGTTTAACATAACTCACTGTAGGAAACAGTTTATGAATTTATTATGTGTTTTGAAGTCACACTGTGAGCTATAGAATTTACCCAAGCACAACTCTTCCCGGAAAAGGGAGTTCAAATAAGAAGACAGTGCAGGGTGAAGACATGGATATTAGCTTAAAGTATCTATTTCTCTATGATCTTCTGATACATCTCTCAAGTGCTTTTTGGTGTATTAGCTTTAGAATTGCATCAGCCAACTACTGGTCAATAATCCATTTTTCCAGCTTGGAGCATCTTAAATTGAGAAAGGACAAAGTCACAGAGGTGGAGAGCAGGTAAACTTTGGCCGAGGACTTTGCATGAATCAATGAGAGTGCGTCCTCCTCCCTGTCCTGCCCTCATGCTCTGTGTACTCTCAGGAGGTCAGGACAGGTCTTTCTGAGAATGAGAATCCGTTCATCTGCCTTTCTACTGATACTTGTCATCAGCATACAAACACACGCTCTCTGCAGTGTGTCATCTTTCAGAACCTCCCCTGACCCCATATTCCCTGGAGGACTTGCTGCCTTCAGAGCCAGGCTTGTCTTCTGCTGCCACTCTACTAGTCATTCTTTAATCCACTCCATCTGCCTGTGGCCCCCACCTCACCCCTCAAAGAGAATTGACTTGTCTTCCTGGGTTTCATTAGCTGTACTCATTGTTACTTTCTTCCTTACCACTGTGTATCTCAAACTCTTGAGATTAAAGTGCAGGCTCAGGAGGGAGCGAGGAGCTTCAGGACTCTCACGGACCTCCAGCACAGTATAGCTGCCTTACGGAAAAGTGGGCACACTGTTTTCTGCACTGGTGCCTGCCCCGGCTACTCCTCAATGGGCAGAGCACAACCACCCTGGCCCTGCCTGAACACTTTAGTCAGTGTGTTCAGGCAGGGGAGCACAGGAAGGCACTGTGCTTCTCTGGGGAGGAAATCCCAGAGGCAACCCACAGCCCCTCTGCCATTTCAGCTGCAGCAATACCGCCCTTACTGCCCTTGGGCTGCAGAAGGAACAAAGTGACCTGGTCACTTCCCTGATGCCTCCAGCACACAGCAGGGGTTATATGGAAAGAATTCCAGTCTCTCTTCCCTGTGAGCTCCCACCTGTTACTCTTCACCAGGCAGGTTTCCTGGCTTGGGCACACAGTACAGGCACCTCATACTCAGCTGAACATTTCCATTGGCAGCTCTCTGTGTTTCTGTGGGATGGAGCTCCCAGAGGCGACTGAAAGCCCATCTGCCACTGCCACTGCAGTGGTACTGCCCTTGCTGTCTGTGGACTGGGGAAGAAACAAAGATCCTGAGTGCTTTATTCACACACCAGCAGGCCCCAGCCACCCTATGGAAAAAAAGTTTAGTGTGTCTTCCCTGCAAGCACCCTGACGCCCCTGCCCCTGCTTCTCCCAAGCTATGGAGCCAAAACAAAGCTGAGCTTGCCCCAGGGCTGCGGTACACGGCCAAAGAATGCTAAGCTGAGATCTGCAACTGGAACTCAAGTGGGAGAGAAGCAATTGTGAGGAAATACAGAGGAGCCATGTGGCTGAAGAAGAGCCTACCTGTTAGTTTGCAAAATCAAAATCTTCAAAATCCAAAATACTTTGCTAATATACCACCCCGTAAAACCATGGACAAGAATTCAACCACAAATAAAGACCTTGTACACCACCTTGGCCCTCTGAAAACATCCAGAAATGAAGTCAACTTATATCATAGTTAAAGGAACATCAGGTCACACAAATGAGAAAGAAGCAGCGCAAGAATTCTGGCAACTCTGCAAGCCAAACTGTCTCCTTATCTCCAAATGACCACACTAGCTCTCCAGCAATGGCTCCTAACCAGAAGGAAATGACTGAAATGACAGACATGGAATTCAGAATCTGGGTGGCAACAAAGAGCATTGAGATTCAGGAGAAAATTGAAACCTCTTTCAAGTAATCTAAGGAATGAAGTAAAATGATTCAAGAGATGAAAGACAAGCCATTTGAAGAAAGAACCAACCCTCTCTTGTAGAGCTAAAAAAAACCTCACTATTGAATGTCATAGCACAATCAGAAATATTAGTATAATAAAAGTAGTTAAGGAAAGAATCTCAGACCTTGAATACTGTTTCTTCAAATTAACATAATCAGACAAAAATAAAGAAAAAGAATTTTAAAAAATGAACAAAGCCTCTGAGAAATATGGGATTATGTAAAGAGACCAAATCTATGACTCATTGGTGTCCCTGAAAGGGAGAGAGAGCAAGCAATGAGGAAAACATATTTGAGGATATTGTCCATGAAAATTTACCCAGTCTAACTAGAGAGGTCGACACACAAACTCAGGAAATTCAGAGAACCTCAATGAGGTAGTATAAAGAACAACCATCCTTAAGATACATATTTGAGTATATTACTATTGTTTATGTGATGATTAATACGGATTGTCAACTTGATTGGATTGAAGGATGCAAAATATTGATCCTGGGTGTGTCTGTGAGGTTGTTGCCAAAGGAGATTAACATTTAGTAAGTGGGCTGGGAAGGCAGACCCACCCTTAATCTGGGTGGGCACCATCTAATCAGTTGGCAGCGTGGCCAGAATACAAAGCAGACAGAAAAATGTAAAAAGGCTAGACTGGCCTAGCTTCCCAGCCTACGTCTTTCTCTTGTGCTGGATGCTTTCTACCCTTGAACATCGGACTCCAAGTTCTTCAGCTTTGGGACTCAGAATGGCTTCCTTGCTTCTCAGGTTGCAGATGGCCTATTATGGGACCATGTAATCTTGTGAGTTGATACTACTTAATAAGGTCCCCTTTGTGTGTGTGTGTGTGTGTGTGTGTGTGTGTGTGTGTGTGTGTGTGTGTGTATCCTATTAGTTTTATCCCTCTAGAGAACCCTGAGTAATATAGATTTTGGAACCAGGAGTGGTTCTGGAGGAACAGAATATTAAGGATGGAGTTCTTTCATTGGTTTTGAGATTTCTGGATATGACTGCTTAATATGATTAGACCCAAAAATGCAAAGCACTCTACTTCTAATAGTATGGAGAACACTGATAGTCCTTGGCATGAACTGTTTAAAGAGTTAGGCAAAATAAATGCATTTGACACTCCTGATTCACCACTCATGAGGGAAGGAGTTTAGTGACTCTATGCATAATACCTTTGACTATATGTGGAGAACCAAGGAGCATAATGAAGTTGGTTGGTCCTAAGTTCACTGGAGAAAGTGATGAAAGAAAATGATAAACTCAGGGATTCTGTCTCCTGGCTTCAGAAGCAGATACTGAGCCACACATCTGCTAAGATTGCCCTGAGTGAGAGTCTTAACTCCTGTAGAGAAAGAGTTGAAATTGTAGTAAAACAGATGCAAGCTCTTATTATGCGAGTAGCTAACCTGCAATGAAAGGTGCATGCCCAGCCCTGCCAGGTGTCTACTGTTAAAGTGAGGGCATTGAATAGAAAAGAATGGAACCCTGTAACTTGGAATGGGGACATGTGAGAGGACCCTGATGAAACTGAGGACACTGAATTTATGAACTTTGATTAACCTTTTTTTGCGAAAAGAAACAGCTTCCCCATCCTCAGTACTGGCAACATCCCCTCCCTGACCCATGCTGCCATTAGCCTTTCCACCTTTGTCTGAGGATGTGAACCCTGCGCTGCTTGAGGCAACAGTGACGGCCTCCCGTGAGGCAGTTGCCAGGCAAGATAATGTTGATTCTCCTTAGGAGGCATCTCCAATGCCCTTGTTTGCTTCTAGACCTACAACTAGACTAAAGTCCTGTTGGGCCCAAGAGGTGAGGTTCAGAGTGTGACCCATGAGGAGATGCATTACACTCTAAAAGAATTGCTTGAGTTTTCTAATTTATATAAGCAGAAATATGGAGAACAGGCATGGGAATGGATATTAAGGGTCTGGGATAATGGTGGAAGTAACATAGAGTTGGATCAGGCTGAATTTATTAATGTGGGCCTACTAAGTAGGGATTCTGCATTTAATGTTGCAGCTTGGGGACTTAAAAAAGGTTCTAATAGTTTATTTGCTTGATTACCCGAAATATAGATTAAAAGATGGCCTGCTGTGAGTGAGCTGGAAATGCCTGATCTCCCTTAGTTTAATGTAGAGGAAGGGGTCCAAAGGCTTAGGGAGATTAGGATGGTGGTGTTGGATTAGTCACTTTAGACCTACTCATCCCAGCTGGGAGGGTCCAGAATATATACCCTTGACCAATGCTTTGTGAAATAGTTTTGTGAGGGTAGCACCTGCATTTTTCAAGAGCCCTGTAATTGCTCTTCTCTGTATGTCAGATCTAACAGTGGGAACCACAGTCACTCAACTACAAAATTTAAATACAATGGGAATAATTGGATCCTGAGGGCCAGGGACCAAGTGGCAACACTGACCCATCAGAGGAATGCTGGGTATAGCTACCATAATGCACAGCAGAGGCAAAGCAACAATCAGAATAGTCTGACTCGTGTAGAGCTCTGGCACTGGCTAATTAATCACGATGTTCCTAGAAGTGAAATTGATAGAAAGCCTACTGCATTCCTACTTAATTTATATAAACAGAAAACTACCAGGTAGAATGGACAAAAGACTAATCTGAATTATTAAGACACAGAATCATGGCCCCTCAATTAATTTCCAGACTCGAGCCAGTTTACAGACCCAGAAGCCCTTGAATAAAGGGGAGGCTGGGTCCCCTTAAGGAAGCACCCTACTAAGCTACCAACAATTTATGGTGTTTATCTTTCTCCCATCCTTCCCAAGGACACCTCTGGCCTTTTACCAGGGTAACTGTGCACTGGGGACAGGGAAATAATCAGACGTTTTGGAAACTACTGAAAACTGGCTCTGAGCTGATGTTGATCCCAGAAAACACAAAACATCATTGTGGTCCTCCAGTTAAAGTAGGGGCATATGGAGGTCAGGTAATTAATGGCATTTTAGTTCATGTCTGACTTACACTGGGTCCAGTTAGTACCTGGACTTATCCTGTGGTCATTTCCCCAGTGCCAAACTGCCTAATTGGCATAGACATACTTAGCAGCTGGCAGAAACCCCACATTGGCTCCCTTACTGGTAGGGTGAGGGCTGTTATGGATGGGAAAGGCCAAATTGAAGCCATTAGAGTTGCCTCTACCTAGAAAAATAGTAAATCAAAAACAATATTATATCCTTGGAGGGATTGCAGAGATTGACATCACCGTCAAGAACTTGAAAGATGAGGGGGTGGTGATTCTACCACATCCCTGTTCAACTCCCCCATTTGGCCTGTGCAGAGGACAGATGGATCTTGGAGAATGACAGTGGGTTATTGTAAGCTTAACCTAGTGGTGACTCCAATTGCAGCTGCTCTACCAGATGTGCTTTCATTGCTTGAGCAAATTAACACATGTTCTTGTACCTAATATGCGGCCATTGACTTGGCAAATGCCTTTTTCTCCATTCCTGTCCATAAGGCCCATCAGAAGCAATTGACCTTCAGCTGACAAGGCCAATAATATACCTTTACTGTCCTACCTCAAGGGTATAACAACTCTCCAGCTTTGTGTCATAATCTTATTCGAGAGACCTTAATCACTTTTCACTTCTGCAAGATATCACACTGGTCCATTATATTGATGATATTATGCTGATTGGATCCAGTGAGCAAGAAGTAGTAAACACATTGTACTTACTGGTGAGACATTTGATGCCAGAGGATAGGAAATAAATCTGACTAAAATTTAGGGACCTTCTACCTCAGTAAAATTTCTAGCGGTTCAGAGGTGTAAGGCCTATGGAGCTATTCCTTCTAAGGTGAAGCATAAGTTGCTGAATTTGAACCCTCCTACAACCAAGAAAGAGGTACAATGCCTAGTGGGCCTACTTGGATTTTGGAGGCAACACCTTCCTCATTTGGGTCTGTTACTCTGGCCCATTTATTTAGTGACCTGAAAGGCTGCCAGTTTTGAGTGAAGTCGAGAACAAGAGAAGGCTCTGCAACAGAATCAGGCTGCTGTGCAAGCTGCTCTGCCACTTGGGCCATATGACCCAGCAGATCCAGTGGTGCTTGACATGTTAGTGGCAGATAGGGATGCTGTTTGGAGCCCAAAATTCCTAATGAAACATGCTGTCAGATG
Source organism: Homo sapiens (assembly GCF_000001405.40). Lineage (NCBI taxonomy): Eukaryota > Metazoa > Chordata > Mammalia > Primates > Hominidae > Homo > Homo sapiens. The sequence continues at coordinate 160,501,875 of NC_000006.12, read as the reverse complement.
GATGACTTTTTCCAAGCCAGTAAGCTTCTCCAAGATATCATAAAGTAGAGAGCATCCAGTGCAATCTTTAGCATTGCAGATTCTGAGAAACATGACTCTCAAGCCTATAAATCTCGAGAAAGCTAACAAGGTTGGAATAATTCCATAATGCCCTGTGTCTATGGAGCGGTACATGAGCTCCCAATGCTCTATATTTCAGGCCTTCCTCAGTCCTAGGCAGGTTCTGCACCCCTAGGCTTTGAAGACAGTGATTTCTCAGGGTTCTTGCACCTCGTTCTGATGAAACTTTTACCTGTGGGGTGTCTGGAGAGAAAGAGTAGGAGACTTCTGCTTTATTGCAATGCAGGATGTGGGGCACAAGAAAGTTACATCTCTCCTCCAATGGGATAAGCTTTTGGCCTCCACCCACCACTAAGAAGCATAGTGTTTTTGCCTGCAGTAGTAGATGCAGAACCATTTTCTGCCCAATCGCCAAGAAGCTGAAGGCCTTGGCTCTTGTGATCAATGGTCTAGGGAAACATGCAAGGTTTCCATGTCTGTCCCCACCTCTGCCCTCGACACCCAGTCACCACCTACAGCCTGCACCACCAAATACATTGCCCTTTGTTCTCTCATGCCCCATGGTCGCCATGAACATTCAGTAGAGATCCCTAAAGACCAGTTTGCATGTGAGTGCAGTTTCCCATGAGAATCACTCTGATCTGTTGTTTTTCTCTAAACTTTTAGGTGAAATATTTCTAAGAACTTACTACACTTCTAGAATGGTAGGAATCTGTTGTTTTGGTGTTTGTTTCTCATTTCCATTTGCCTACAAATAAAGAAATGAGAACGGTCATAATTTTCAGAGACTCCTTTCTGTTTTCTGTTATAAATGGCTTTACCTGTTTCACTGTTCTAAGAAATACTCAGCTTAATTTTTTCTGTTTTGATTTCAGCACCGACTGAGACAGGGCCTTCTGTGCAGGAGTGCTACCACAGTAATGGACAGAGTTATCGAGGCACATACTTCACCACTGTCACAGGAAGAACCTGCCAAGCTTGGTCATCTATGACGCCACACCAGCACAGTAGAACCCCAGAAAAGTACCCAAATGAGTATGTATTTGTTCTTTACCATAAGAGAAGGAAGGGCCAACTGAAGTTTCTGTTAGAAGAGTCATGCTTCAAGCTGACTGCTCAGGACTCAACTTGTGTCAGATGCAGAGGGCGTAGCAAAATGTCTCAGGAACATTGCCTTGGAGCAAAGGGTCTGAGAGAAGAGAAATGTTAAGCTGCCTCTCCTTCCTCCTAGCTTGATAGAGCAGGAGCATATCTGGAGGTGAGGAGATCACATTAAGAAAAATATCAGGACCACAAATGACCAAACACTTAGCGTACCCTTCCACAACACACACTAAGGGTCACTGCAGCCTTTCCACCTTTGAACTCTAGCATTCTGACCTCCGATTCTTGAAGTGAAGGTTGCGTTGTTCTTTTCTATCTTGGCTCACAAGGATAGCATATGTGCAATTCTGTGGAGAGGCAAAGCTCTCTCTTTCTGTATCTACATCTATTCCAATGGGTAGAAGCACACTCAGTCCTGAGCACCAGTGATCTAAAAGATACGGTTTGCCAGGAAGAAAAGAGCAAAGGCAGGAAGGCAGATGAGAGTCAGCAAACAGACAGATGCTGAAAAGTAAAAGGGGCAGATAGATGGACAGAAGCCCAGGTCTGACCACCCCATTGCCAGTTTCTCTGCCATAAGTGGCTACCAAAGACATAGAAAAATGGTTTCCACATGTTGGACAACAGACGGTAGAGGACCGAGAGAGTTGCGAGAGGGGGAACAATGAGATCAACTCCGTAGATGCCCTTCTTGGCTTTCTTCTTGGAGACCCTTCCCTAAGAGTGGAGAGATGGAGCCCAAATGGACTGTAGCCATGTTCCTTAATGAAGGAGAGGGATTGGAGTTTGGGATTACTCAGGTAGGCTGATCTAGGCCAGCTAAGAATGAGAATGGATTTGTGGAGGAAAGGAGCTGTAGGAATACGTATAGAATCTCCTCAAGTCATTGGCTAAACATAAAGCTGCTTGTGCACAGAAAAAGGTTTCACAAGAGAGTAGGGCAAAGGATATCTCCTGAGGAACAGCAACTACAAGGGAACAGTGAGCTCAATAAAGATGAAAGAGCTCACATAGCACTGCTGGAGACTGGAGTTCTGACCAGCCAAAGGAGAGAGACCTCACTGAACAACTTGGGCATTCAGTAGAGACCCCAGAAAAGCCAGACTTTAGACATAAAATTAGTATATTCCTATAATAAAGGCAGCTCCAGACAAACCCTAGCAAAGCTGAAAAGCAAGTTTCCAAGCATCAAAATGGTGTCCAAGTCAATTAACTGCCTGCCAGAGGAAAACTCAACCTTCTTTAGAGGTAAACAACAAAATCAAGTGGCTCAACTATGCAATATCCGCAGTGTGAGTCCAAAATTTAAAATCTACCTACACATAGAAAATCACTTAGTGTGATCCATGACCAGGAGAAACATCAGTCAATACAAATAGGCCCAGGTGACAGAAATGATAAAAGTGGCATAAAAATTGGACATATCAGTATGATAACTGAGTTCTAGGATTTAAGAAAACATGGATATGGAACTATCAGATGTAATATCAAGAGGAAGTAACAGTATAAAAGAGCCAAATTAAATTAAAAATCTAGTAAAAGGTATGTCTTAAATAAAAAAAAAAATCACTGGATTGCCTCCTCATCCAGTTAGAAGTTTCAGAAAAAAAATTAACTGAAAAAAAAATCCATAGAAGCTAAAGAAGCAGCTACATGCACACACACACACACACACACACACACTCACACATGCACAACCTTACAAACACACACACACATCCACAAATGCGGTAAAATTGAATCAACCAAGCCTCACAGACATGAAGGAAAACATGCAAAGATTTTCTTCATGTGGGAAGCAAGTCACAGAAGTAGAGGAATGAGAAACTGGAACAGAAATAAATACCTGAAGCAAAAGTGGCTTAAAACCTTCCAAATATAATGAACATTTAAAAATTACAGGTACAAGAAGCTCAATATGTCAGAAAGAGAATTTTCAAAAAGAAAATTCTATGATGCACTTTGATACATTACAGTTCGACTATCAAGACAACGACATAGTATCATAAAAATCTCAGAGAAACCAGAGGAAAAAGTGCTGTGTCTTTCTAGAGGAACAGTGATACAAATGGCTAATGTGTTCTCATCAGAAATATGGCAAGCCACATACAAAGGAATATCATCAAAATGATAAACAGGAAAAAAAAAAAGAGATCAACTGAGAATGCTACATCCAGCCATAAAATGCCTTCAATATCATCAATGTTGTATAAATGCGTATTTTGCAATTCCCCAAACAAGAAAACCAAAAACTATAAAAATTTGGAATCAGGACACTTACGTAACAAAAAGTGTGACCGATAGGAAAATAGGTAGAAGAATAGTACAAGAGGGGAACTTTCTGCATCCCAGGTAATGAAGAAGCCAGCAAATGGCAAATGTAGATGTAAATGCAAAATATTTTCTTGTTCAAATTTCTTTATTGCCTTAAATAAGAGTTGACAACTTGAAGTAAAATGTCAGCAATATATATTATTTTAGCATATGTAGAAGTAAAAACTTGAAAACATAGCATAAATCATGTAGGGAATAAAAGAATTATATCATTGTAAGTTTCTTGTCTTATCAATGATGGTAACAAATATTAATAAAAAGTTGTTTGGGTTCATGGGATATTGCAAATTCTAGAGTAATCACAAAATTTTGAATGCTAAAGTATTTTCTATAACAAGAATATTCCATGTATTGAAAAGAGGACAGCCAAAGAAGAAAAAGAAGTCTTTCAACTGCTCTGGTCTGAGCACCTCCAAATGCTCAGAGAACCAGGTTCTTGGAATGGAGGGTCTGGGGTTGAGACTAGGTCACATGTGTAGAGTCTCTAGAGAGACAGTGTTGGATCCCCATGGCGCATAATACATTTCCCATTTTCACAAACAGCCACAGGTCGTGAATGTTGAGAATTCTGAGAGGTTGGAGCAATGTTTCTGGGAGTCATAAGGGGGAGCGAATGCTCCAAGATACACCAAACACGGAATTCTCACCTGCTTTGCCTTTTACTACATTGTTTGCTGACTCCTCCGTAGCTGCCCGACCTCTTCAGATCTCATAGTTCATTCAACCATCTCCCTTTACGCCTTGGGTCCCACTGTTCTTTCAACTCATCCCCCATGCCCTCAGTCCCAGAGTGGCTGCTGCCACTAGAGAATGGAGTGAGAGCAGGAGACGAGGTCGTGTCCAGGGACCCATCCTAGAGATACTGCATCCTGCCTGAGAACCAGTTTTCTAGGGCAGCTTTGATAAGTCTTGCAGAAAGAAATATTCTAGACCCACCTGATACAGTGTCTACAGACAGTAATACTATTTTCACGATGGTTTTCCATGGCTAACACTGAGGCTTTTTACTACACTTTGAGTACATAGAGTTGGAAGGCTGGCCTGGAAATGATATCGTCCTGGATGGCATTTTTTCTTTGGAGAACTCTATGTTAGTTCCACTTTGCACAATACTTTATAAAGTCCTATAGAGAGAGATCAAGAGGGCTAGACGGATGAAAATACTCTTGTATGTGCATAAGCAATTCCACAATACACACATCAAAATCCATACCAGGTATTCCAGAGAGATGGATTGGCCAAAGGCTAAAGGAGGGTATTCGGATCCCTCCTAGCCCTCATGTATGTATTATTTCTTTGCTTCTAAGAAACATTTGCTACTTAGGTCTTAAAAAAAAAACAGTTAAAATCTATTAGATATTACAAATGTGCAGAGAGGATGAGAATTTGAGAGCCATTCATGCTTGTAGCAATTGTATGGTACCTTTAATGGGAATATTTCAAAGGCACTGGTTATGACTTTGTTACAGCAAAATTGAGAGGGTGCTGGGTGCTGGGTGCCCTGCATATCATCCCACCTGAGAAGGAAGGGCTGACTGAAGTTTCTGTTAGAAGAGACGTGCTTCTAGCTAAGTGCTCAGGAATCAAATTGTGTCAGATGTAGAGGGCATAGCAAAATGTCTCAGGAATATTGCCTTGAAGCAAAGGGTCTCAGAGATAAGAAATGTTAATCTGGCTCTCCTTCCTCATAGCTTTATGCATCAGGAGGCTATCTGAAGGCGAGGTGATCACATTACGAAAACTGTCAGGACCACAAATGACCAAACACTTAGAGTGTTTTCTACAACACACAGTAAGAGTCAATGCAGCCTTTCCACCTTGGAATTCTATCATTCTAACCTCTGATTCCCGAAGTAAAAGTTGTGTTGGCCTTTTCTGTCTTGGCTCACGAGGAAGGAGTATGTGCATATCTATGGAGAGTCGAATCTCTTTCTATTTCTACATCTATTCCAATGGGTAGAAACACACTCGATCCCAAGCATCAATGGTCTGAAAAGATATGAGGTGCCAGAAAGAAAAGGGCAAAGGCAGGAAGGCTGATGAGAGACAGCAAAGAGACAGATGCTGAAAAATAAAAGGGGTGGGTACATGGACAGAAGCCGGGTCTGACCAACTCATGGCCAGTCTCTCTGCTCTAAATAGCTACAAAAGACCTGGAAAAACGGTTTCCACACGTTAAACAACAGATGGTAGAGGACTGAGAGAATTGCGAGAAGGAGAACAATGAGATCAACTCCACAGATGCCCTCCCTGGCTTTCTTCTTGGATGCCGTTCCTGCACTGAAGAGCAGGGAGACGGAATCCATGCAGACTGTATCCATCTTGCTGAATGGAGGAGAGACTGGAGTTTGGCATTATTCAGGCAGCTAGGATTTTCTAGGACAGCTAAGAATGAGAACGGATTTGTGGGACAAAGGAGCTCTAGGAATACATTTAGAAGTCTCGTCAAGTCATTGGCTAAACATAAAGCTCCTTGTGCACAGAAAAATGTTCCACAAGAGACTAGGGCACAGGACATCTACTGAGGAACAGCAACTACAAGACAACAGTGAGCTCAATAAAGCTGACATAGCACTGGGGCGGTTGGAGTTCTGACCAGCTAGAGGAGAGTGATCACACTGAACATCTTGGGCATTCAGTAGAGACCCCAGAAAAGCCAGACTTTAGGAGTAGAATTAGCATATTCCTGGAATTAAGGCAGCTCCAGAGAAACCTAGCAAAGCTGAAAAGCAAGTGTCCAAGCATCGAAATGGTGTCCAAGTCAAGTTACTGCCTGCTAGAGAAAAACTCAACCTTCTTTACAGGTAAACAACAAAACCAAGTGGCTCAACTATGCAATATCAGTAGTGTGAGTCCTAAAACTAAAATCTGCCTACACACTGAAAATCATTTAGTGTGATCCATGACCAGGAGAAACATCAGTCAATATGAATAGGCCCAGGTGACAGAAATGATAAGAATGGCATAAATATTGGGCATATCAGTATGATAACTGAGTTCTAGGATTTAAAAAAACATGGATATGGAACCAAACAGATGTAATAGCAAGAGGAATTAACAGTATAAAAAAGTCAAATCAAAAATCTAGTGAAAAGGATGTGTTAAATAAAAAATTACTAAATGGCCTCCCTATCCTGTTAGAAGTTTAAGAAGAACAACTAACTGAAAAAAAAAATCCATAGAAGCTAAAGAAACAGCTACACACACACACTCTCACAGATACACAACTTATAAACAGACACACACACACACATCCACAAATACTGTAAAATGAAATCTACCAAGCCTCACAGACAGGGAGGAAAATATAAAAAGATTTCCTACATGTGGGAAAGAAGTCACAGAAATAGCGGAATAAGAGATTGGAACAGAAACAAATACTTGAAGCAAGGATGGCTGAAAACCTTCCAAAAATGAGGTACATAAAAAGATTACAGATTCAAGGAGCTCAATGGATCAGCAAGAGAATTTGCAAAAAGAAAACTCTGTGATGCACTTTGTTACCTCACAGCTTGTCTGTCAGAAGACAAAGATACAGTATCAAGAAAAATCCCATGAGAAACCAGAGGAAAAAGAGCTGTGTCTGCTAGAGGAACAGTGATGCAAATGACTAATGCGTTCTCATCAGAAACATGGCAAGCTGCGTACAAAGGGATATCTTAAAACAATACACAGGAAAAAGAAGAGATATACTGAGAATGCTACATCAAGCAAGAAAATACCTTGAATATCATCAATGTTGTGTAAATGCATCTTGTGCACTCCCGAAACAAGGAAACCAAAAACTATAAGAATTTGGAATCAGCAGGCTTATGCAACAAAAGACGTAACCCAATGGAAATTAGGTAGAAGAAGAATAGTATGAGAGGAGAACCTTCTGCATCCCACATAATAAAGAAGGCAGCAAATGGCACATAGATGTAAATGCAAAATATTTTCTTGATCAAATTTCTTAATTGACTTAAATGAGCATTAACTACTTGAAGCAAAATGACAGCAATATATTTTAGCACATTTGAAGTAAAAATTTGAAAATGTAGCATAAATCAGATAGGGAATAAAAGGAATTATACCACTGTAAGTTTCTTTCCTTATCTGTGATGGTAAAAAATATTAATAAAAGGTTGAAATATGTGCATTCAAAGAGACATTGCAAATTCTAGAGCAATCCCTAAATTTCGAAGGCTGAAATATATTCTATAACAAGAAGACTCCATGTATCCAAGAGGGAAGCCAAGGAAGAAAAAGAAGTCTTTCAACTACTCGGCTCTGAGCACATCCAAATGCTCTGAGAATCAGCTTCCTGGAATGGACATTCTGTGCTTGAGACTAGCTCACATGTGTAGATTTTCTAGAGAGAGTAGTTGGATCCCCATGGCCCATAATACATTTCTTGTCTTTACAGACAGCCTCACGTCGTGAATCTGAGAATTCTGAGAGGTTGGAGCAATGTTCCTGGGAGTCATAACAAAAGGCGAATGAATGCTCCAAGATACACCCAGCGCGAGATTCTTGGTTGCTTTGCCTCTTACGCCATTGTTTGCCAATGACTCTGTAGCTGCCAGACCTTTTCAGATCTCATAGTCTATTCAGCCATCTCCCATTATGCCTTGGGTCATACTGTTCTTTCAACTCATTCCCCATTCCCTCAGTCACCCTTAGAGTGGCTGCCATCAGTAGAGGATGGACTGAGAGCAGGAGATGAGGTCCTGTCCAGGGATGCATCCTAGAGGTACTGCATCATGTCTGGGAACTAGTTTTCTAGGGCAGCTTTTATAAGTCTTGAAGAAACAAACCTTTTCACTCACCTGATACAGCATCGAGAGACAGCAATACTGTTTGCACGATGGTTTTCCATGGGTAACATAGAGGCTTTTCACTACATTTTGAGTACATAGAGTTAGAAGGCTGGCCTGGGATTGATATCATCCTGGATGCCATTATTTCATTGAGGAACTCTATGTTAGTTCCACCTTTCGCAGTACTGTATGAAGTCCTGTAGAGACAGATAAAGAGAGCTAGACAGATGAAGGTACTCTTGTATGTGTATAAGTGATTCCACAATACACACGTCAAAATCTATACCATGTATTCCAGAGAGATGGATTGGCTAAAGATGGAAGGAGGATATTCTCATCCCTTCTAGGCCACATGTATGTATTATTTCAGTGTTTCTAAGAGGTATTTCCTACTTTAGGTCTTAAAAAAAAAAGTTAAAATCTATTACCTGTTAGAAATGTGCAGAGTGGATGAGAATTTGAGAGCCATTCATGCTTGTGGCAATCATATGGTACCTCTAATGGGAATATTTCAAAGGCACTGGTTATGACCTTGTTACAGCAAAATGGAGAGGGTGCTGGATGTTCCTGCATATTGTCCCACCTCTTGTAACGTGTATTGTTTTGTGATTTTCAGTGGCTTGATCTCGAACTACTGCAGGAATCCGGATTGTTCGGCAGGCCCTTGGTGTTATACGACGGATCCCAATGTCAGGTGGGAGTACTGCAACCTGACACGGTGCTCAGACGATGAAGGGACTGTGTTCGTGCCTCTGACTGTTATCCCAGTTCCAAGCCTAGAGGATTCATTCATACAAGGTAAGAAGTCTGTGGCCAGACATCTCCACGCTTAGACACTAAGAAGAAAAGCCATGGAAACTCCCACTGATGCAGAAGGCTTCATTCTACACAGGTGCTCCAATGTTGATTGAGGATCTGCCATTTTGGAGGAATCCTCAGTGCAGTGTCTGGGGGAGCCAGAGGAGTAATTTTTGGTGCAGCATGAGTGGGCTGTGTCTTTGGATAGGCACAAACCCTCCAGGGTGCTCGACATCACCACTCACTTCATTGTAAAATGAGTTATCTCAGTGTCCAGTCCAAAATTCCTGTTGTAACATGCTGTCAGATATGTGTCTCTTTCCAATGCAGTAAGCTTCTCCAGGGATTTCTTCAAGTAGACAACATTCAGTGCAATCTTCATCATCACAGATTCTCAGAAATGTGTGGCTTTCAAGCCCGTGAATCTTGAGAAACTTAACAGGGCTGCATTAATTCCATGTTGCCCTTGCATCATGGAGCATTACATGAGCTCCCAAGGCTCTATCTTTCAGGCCTTCCTCAGACCTGGGCAAGATTTGCAGGCCTAGGCTTTGAAGTGAGTGATTTCTCAGTGTTCCTGCACCTTTTTCTAATGGAAGTTGTACTTGTGGGGGGTCTGGAGAGAAAGAGTAGGAGACTTCTGCTTTATTGCAATGCAGGATGTGGGGCATGAGAAAATTCCATCTCTCTTCCAATGGGATAAGATTTTGGCCTCCACCCATCCTTATGAAGCAAACTATTTTTGCCTGCAGTCCTAGACGCACAACCGTTTTCTTCCCAATCTGCCAGAAGCCAGAAGCTGAAGGCCTTGGCTCTCGTGATCAATGGTCTAGGGAAACGTGCGAGGTTTCCATGTCTGTCCCCACCTCCGCCCTCAGCAGCCAATCACCATCTACAGTCTGCACTGCCAAATGCGTAGCCCTTTATTCTCTCATGCCCCGTGATCCCCATGAACATTCAGTAGAGATCACTAGAGAGCAGTTTGCACGTGAGCGCAGTTTTCCATAAGAAGCACTCTGAACTGTTGTTTTTCTCTAAGCTTTTACATGAAATATTGGGAAGAACTTACTGCATTTCTAGAATGGTAGGAATCTGTTCTTTTGGTGTTTGTTTGTTTTCTCATGTTCATCTGTGTACAAATAAAAAAAAGAGAATGGTCGTAATTCTCCAAGACTTCTTTCTGGTTTGTGTCATAAATGGCTTCAACTGTTTCCCTGTTCTAGGAGATACACAGCTTAATTTTTCCTGTTTTAATTTTAGCACCGACAGAGCCAAGGCCTTCTGTTCAGGAGTGCTACCATGGAAATGGACAGAGTTATCGAGGCACATATTTCACCACTGTCACAGGAAGAACCTGCCAAGCTTGGTCATCTATGACACCACACCAGCACAGTAGGACCCCGGAACAGTACCCAAATGCATACGTTTTGTTCTTTACCATAAGAGAAGGAAGGGCTGACTAAAGTTTCTGTTAGAAGAGTCATGCTTCTAGCTAAGTGCTCAGGACTCAACTTGTTTCAGATGTAGAGGTCATAGCAAAATGTCTCAGGAATATTGCCTTGAAGCAAAGGGTCTCAGAGATAGGATATGTTAATCTGGCTCTCCTTCCTCATAGCTTTATGCATCAGGAGGCTATCTGAAGGCGAGGTGATCACATTACGAAAACTGTCAGGACCACAAATAACCAAACACTTAAGAGTGTTTTCTACAACACACAGTAAGAGTCAATGCAGCCTTTCCACCTTGGAATTCTATCATTCTAACCTCTGATTCCTGAAGTAAAAGTTGTGTTGGCCCTTTCTGTCTTGGCTCACGAGGAAGGAGTATGTGCATATCTATGGAGAGTCAAAGCTTTCTATTTCTACGTCTATTCCAATAGGTAGAAACAAACTCGATCCCAAGCAGCAATGGTCTCAGATATGAGGTGCCAGAAAGAGAAGGGCAAAGGCAGGAAGGCTGATGAGAGACAGCAAAGAGACAGATGCTGAAAAATAAAAGGGGTGGGCAGATGGACAGAAGCCTGGGTCTGACCAACTCATGGCCAGTCTCTCTCCTCTAAGTGGCTACAAAGGACATGGAAAAATGGTTTCCACACGTAAAACAACAGATGGTAGAGGACTGAGAGAATTGTGACAAGGAGTACAATGAGATCAACTCCACAGATGCCCTCCTTGGCTTTCTTCTTGGGACCGTTCCTGCACGGAAGAGCAGGGAGACGGAACCCATGTGGACTGTATCCATCTTGCTGAATGGAGGAGAGATTGGAGTTTGGGATTTTCCGGTACCTAGGATTTTCTAGGCAAGCTAAGAATGAGAACGGATTTGTGGGGCAAAGGAGCTCTAGGAATACGTATAGAAATCTCTTCAAGTCATTGACTAAACATAAAGTTTTTTGTGCACAGAAAAATGTTCCACAAGAGACTAGGGCAAAGGACATCTACTGAGGAACAGCAACTACAAGGCAACAGTGAGCTCAATAAAGCTCACAGAGCTGAGATAGCACTGGGGGCGGTTGGAGTTCTGACCAGCCAGAGGAGAGTGACCACACTGAACATCTTGGGCATTCAGCAGAGACCCCAGAAAAGCCAGACTTTAGGAGTAGAATTAGTGTATTCCTAGAATTAAGGCAGCTATAGAGAAAACCTAGCAAGGCTGAAAGGCAGGTGTCCAAGCATCAAAATGGTGTCCAAGTCAAGTTACTGCCTGCTAGAGAAAAACTCAACCTTCTTTAGAGGTAAACAACAAAATCAAGTGGCTCAGCTGTGCGATATCAGCTGTGTGAGTCCTAAAATTAAAATCTGCCTACACATTGAAAATCATTTAGTGTGATCCATGACCCGGAGAAAAATCAGTCAATACAAATAGGCCGAGGTGACAGAAATGATAAGAATGGCATAAATATTGGGCATATCAGTATGATAGTTGAGTTCTAGGATTTAAAAAAACATGGATATGGAACCAAACAAATGTAATATCAAGAGGAAGTAACAGTAAAAAAAAGTCAAAACAAATTAAAAATCTAGTGAAATGTATGACTTAAATAAAAAATTCCTGAATGGCCTCCCTATCCAGTTAAAAGTTAAGAAGAAAAACTAACTGAAAACAAACCCATAGAAGCTGAAGAAACAGCTACACACACACACACACACAGATGCACAAGTTACAGACACACACACACACACACACATCCACAGATACTGTAAAATGAAATCAAGCCTCACAGACATGAAGGAAAATATAAAAGATTTCCTACATGTGGGAAAGAAGTCACAGAAATAGAGGAATGAGAGATTGGAACAGAAACAAATACTTGAAGCAAGGATGGCTGAAAACCTTCCAAAAATGAGGTGCATAAAAAGATTACAGATTCAAGGAGCTCAATGGATCAGCAAGAGAATTTTCAAAAAGAAAACTCTATGATGCACTTTGGTACATCACAGCTTGTCTGTCAGAAGACAAAGATACAGTATCAAGAAAAATCCCATGAGAAACTAGAGGAAAAAGAGCTGTGTCTGCTAGAGGAACAGTGATACAAATGACTAATGCGTTCTCATCAGAAACATGACAAGCTGCATACAAAGGAATATGGTCCAAACAATACACAGGAAAAAGAAGAGATATACTGAGAATGCTACATCAAGCAATAAAATACCTTGAATATCATAAATGTTGTATAAATGCATCTTGTGCACCCCCCCGAAACAAACCCAAAACTGTAAGAATTTGAAATCAGCAGGCTTATGTAACAAAAGATGTAACCCAAAGGAAATCAGGTAGAAGAAGAATAGTGCAAGAGGGGAACTTTCTGCATCCCACATAATAAAGAAGGCAGCAAATGGCAAATGTAGATGTAAATGCAAAATATTTTCTTGATCAAATTTCTTAATTGACTTAAATGAGCATTAACTACTTGAAGCAAAATGACAGCAATACATATTATTTTAGCATATTTGAAGTAAAAATTTGAAAACATGGCATAAATCAGATAGGAAATAAAAGGAATTATACCATTGTAAGTTTCTTGCCTTATCTATGATGGTTAAAAATATTAATAAAATGTTGAAGTATGTGGTTTCAGAGAGATATTGCAAATTCTAGAGCAATCCCTAAATTTTGAAGGCTGAAATATATTCTATAACAAGAAGACTCCTTGTATCCAAAAGAGGGAAGCCAAGGAAGAAAAAGAAGTCTTTCAACTGCTTGGCTCTGAGCACATCCAAATGCTCTGAGAATCAGCTTCCTGGAATGGACATTCTGTGCTTGAGACTAGCTCACATGTGTAGATTTTCTAGAGAGAGGTGTTGGATCCCCATGGCCCATAATACATTTCTCATCTTCACAGACAGCCACAGGTCATGAATGTAAGAATTCTGAGAGGTTGGAGCAATGTTCCTGGGAGTCATAACAAAAGGCAAATGCTCCAAGATACACCCAGTACGGGATTCTCAGTTGCTTTGCCTCTTAGCGCCATTGTTTGCTGACAACTCTGTAGCTGCCTGACCTTTTCAGATCTCATAGTCTATTCAGCCATCTCCCATTATGCCTTGAGTCATACTGTTCTTTCAACTCATTCCCCATTCCTTCAGTCCCAGAGTGGCTGCCACCAGTAGAGGATGGACTGAGAGCAGGAGATGAGGTCCTGTCCAGGGATGCATCCTAGAGGTACTGCATCATGTCTGGGAACTTGTTTTCTAGGGCAGCTTTTATAAGTCTTGAAGAAACAAACCTTTTCACTCACCTGATACGGCATCGAGAGACAGCAATACTATTTGCACGATGGTTTTCCATGGGTAACATAGAGGCTTTTCACTACATTTTGAGTACATAGAGTTAGAAGGCTGGCCTGGGATTGATATCATCCTGGATGCCATTATTTCGTTGAGGAACCCTATGTTAGTTCCACCTTGCACAATACTATATGAAGTCCTGTAGAGAGAGAGAAAGAGAGCTAGACAGATCGAGATAATCTTGTATGTGTATAAGTGATTCCACAATACACACATCAAAATCTGTACCGTTTATTCCAGAGAGATGGATTGGCCAAAGGTGGAAGGAGGATATTCTCATCCCTTCTAGGCCACATGTATGTATTATTTCAGTGTTTCTAAAAGGAATTTGCTACTTCAGGTCTTAAAAAAAAAACAGTTAAAATCTATTACCTATTAGAAATGTGCAGAGTGGATGAGAATTTGAGAGCCATTCATGCTTGTGGCAATCATATGGTACCCATAACGGGAATATTTCAAAGGCACTGGTTATGACCTTGTTACAGCAAAATGGAGAGGGTGCCGGATATTCTTGCATATTGTCCCACCTCTTGTTAACGTGTATTGTTTTGTGATTTTCAGTGGCTTGATCTCCAACTACTGCAGGAATCCGGATTGTTCGGCAGGCCCTTGGTGTTATACAACGGATCCCAAAGTCAGGTGGGAGTACTGCAACCTGACAGGATGCTCAGACAAGAATAGGGCTGTGGCCGCGCCTCTGACTATTATCCCGGTTCCAAGACGAGAGGATACTTCCAAACAAGGTAAGAAGTCTGTGGCCAGACATCAGCACACTTCGATGCTGCATAGAAAAGCCATGGAAACTCTTGCTAATGCAGAAGCCTTCCATGCTACACGAGTGCTTGAATTATGGCTGAAGATATGCCATGTTAAAGGAATCCTCAGTGCCGTGTCTGGGGGAGCCAGAGGAGTAATTTTTGGTGCAGCATGAGTGGGCTGTGTCTTTAGGATGGGCACAAACCCTCCAGGGTGCTCGACTTCACCACTCACCTTGTTGTAAAACGGGCTATCTCAGTGTCCAATCCAAAATTCCTATTGTAACATGCTGTCAGATGTGTGACTATTTCCAAGCCAGTAACTTCTCCAAGGATTTCCTCTAATAGACAGCATTCAATGCAATCTTCAGCATTGTAGATTCCAAGAAATGGGGCTCTCGAGCCTGTGAATCTTGAGAAACATAGAAGGGCTGCATTAATTACATATCACCCTAGGTCTGTAGAGCAGTACGTGAGCTCCCAGGCTCTAACTTTCAGACCTTCCTCAGTCCTGGGAATGCTCTGCAGCCCTCAGTTTGAAGGGAGTGATTTCTCAGTGTTCTTGCACTTACTTCTGATGAAATTTGTACCTGTGGGGGGTCTGGAGTGAAGGAGTAGTAGACTTCTGCTTTACTGCAATGCAGAATGTTCATCAGACTATGAATAAAGAAAAGAGAATGGACAGGAGGATTTTGTCTCTCCTCCAAGGGGATAAGCTTTTAGCCTTCTCCCATCCTTAATAAGTGAAGTGTTTTTGCCTGCAGTGCTAGACACAGAACCGTTTTCTGCCTGATCACCCAGAAGCGGAAGGGCTGGGCTCTGGTAATCAAGGGTCTAAGGAAACACACAAAGTTTCCATGTCTGTCCCCACCTCTGACCTCAACAGCCTATCGCCACCTAAAGCCTGCACTGCCAAATCCATCACACTTTGTACTCTCATGCCCCATTGTCTCCATGAACATTCAGTAGAGATCCCTAGAGATGAGCTTGCACGTGAGAGCAGTTTCCCATGAAAAGGACTCTGAACTGTTGTTTTTCTCTAAGCTTTTATATGAAATATTTAGAAGAACTTACTACATTTCCAGAATGGTAGGAATCTGTTGCTTTTGTGTTTGTTTGTTTTCTCATGTCCATCTGCTTACAAATAAAAAAAAGAGAATGATTGTAATTCTTGAAGACTCATTTCTGGTTTGTGGCATTGATAGCTTCATCTGTTTCCCTGTCCTAGGAAATACTCACCTTGAATTTTTCTGTTTTAATTCAGCACTGATTGATCCAAGGCCTTCAATGTAGGAGTGCTACCATGGAAATGGACAGAGTTATCGAGGCACATACTTCACCACCGTCACAGGAAGCACTTGCCAAGCTTGGTCATCTATGACACCACACCAGCACAGTAGGACCTCAGAAAAGTACCCAAATGCGTACGTCTTTGTTCTTTACCATAAGAGAAGGAAGGGCCAACTGAAGTTTCTTTTAGAAGACTCCTGCTTTGAGATAACTGCTCAGGACTCTACTTGTCTCAGATGCAGAGGGCATAGCAAAATGTCTCAGGAATATTGCCTTGGAGCAAAGGGTCTGAGAGAAGAGAAATGTTAAGCTGACTCTCCTTCCTTATAGCTTTATAGAGCAGGAGGATATCTGGAGGCGAGAAGATCACATTAAGAAAAAGATAGGATCACAAGCTACCAAAAGTTTAGAGTTCCTTTCCACAACACACTCTAAGGGCCAATGCAGCCTTTTTGCCTTAAAATTCTATCATTCTAACCTTGATTTCCTGAAGTGAGGGTTGTGTTGGCCTTTTCTATCTTGGATCTCGAAGAAAGCATATGTGCATATCTATGGAGAGGTAAATCTCTATCTATAAATATCTATGTATCTTTCAATCAGCAGAAACACACTGGGTCCTGAGCACCAGTGGTCTGAATAGGTCCAGGTTTCCAAGAAGAGACGAACAAAGGCAAAAAGACAGATGAGACTCAGGAGAGAGACAGAGACTGAAAAGTAAGCGAGGGGGTTAGATAGATGCACAGAAGCTGGGGTCCCACCATCCAATGGCAAGTCTCTCTGCCATAAGTGGCTACCAAAGACATGAAAAAAATGGTCATGACCACAAATGACCAACTACTAACTTCTCCATAGCTGCCTAACCTCTTCAGATCTCATAGTCTATTCATCCATCTCCGTTTATGCCTTGGGACCCACTGTTCCTTCAACTCATCCCCCATTCCCTCAGTCCCGGAGTGGCTGCGGCCAGTAGAAGATGGACTGAGAGCAGGAGAGGAGGTCATGTACTGGGACCCATCCTAGAGATACTGCATTCTGCCTGGAAGCTAGTTTTGCACGGAAGCTTTAATAAGTCTTGCAGAAACAAACCTTTCTGACCCACCTGATACGGTATCGACAGACAGTAACACTATTTGCATGATGGTTTTCCATGATAATAACATAGAGCCTTTTTGCTACATTTTGAGCACAAAGAGTTAGAAAGCTGACCTGGGATTGATATCATCCTGGATACCATTATTTCTTTGAGGAACTCTATGTTAGTTCCACCTCTCACAATACTATATGAAGTCCTATAGAGAGAGATAAAGACAGCTAGACAGATCGAGATACTCTTGTATGTGCATAAATGATTCCACAATACACACGTCAAAATCCATACCAGTTATTCCAGAGAGATGTATTGGCCAAAGGTGGAAGGACAATATTCTGATCCCTTCCAGGCCACATGGATGTACTATTTCAGTGTTTCCAAGAAGCATTGCAAACAACAAAAATAAAACAGTTAAAATCCATTAATTATTGGAAATGTGCAGAGTGGATGAGAATTTGAGAACCATTCATGCTTGTGGCAATTGTATGGTACTTTTAATGGGAATATTTCAAAGGCCCTGGTTATGACCTTGTTACAGCAAAACGGAGAGGGTGCTGGGTGCCCCTGCATATTGTCCCACCTCTTGTGACGTATATCCTTTTGGAATTTCCAGTGACTTGATCATGAACTACTGCAGGAATCCAGATCCTGTGGAAGGCCCTTGGTGTTACACGATGGATCCCAAAGTCAGATGGGAGTACTGCAACCTGACACGATGCTCAGACACAGAAGGGACTGCAGTCGTGCCTCTGACTGTTATCCCGGTTCCAAGCCTAGAGGATCCTTCCAAACCAGGTAAGAAGTCTGTGGCCAGACATCTCCACACTTGGACACTGGGTAGAAAAGCCTTTGAAACTCCCATTGTTGCAGAAGCCTTCAGTGCTACGCACGTGCTCACATGTTGGTTGATGGTCTGTCATGTTGGAAGAATCCTCAGGGCACTCTGGGGGGGAGCCAGACGAGTGATTTTTGGTGCAACGTGAGTGGGCTGTGTCTTTAGGATAGGCACGAACCCTCCAGGTTGGTGGACTTCACCACTCACCTTGTTGTCAAAGGGGTTGGGCCAGTGTCCTAGCCAAAATTCCTATTGTCACATGCTGTCAGATGTGTGACTCTTTCGAAGCGAGTCACTTGTCCAGGGATTTCTTAAGGTAGACAGCGTTCATTGCAATCTTCAGCACTGCAGATTCCAGGAAATGTGGCTCTCTAGCTTGTGAATCTCGAGAAACCTAACAGGCGGCATTAATTCCATATCGCCCTGGGTCTATGGAGCAGTACATGAGCTTCCTCAGTCCCAGGCAGGCTCTGCAGTCCTAGGCTTTGAAGTGAGTGATTTCTTAGTGTTCTGACACCTCCTTCTGATGGAACTTGTACCTGTGTGTGCATAGTGGGGAGGGGTCTGGAGAGAAAGATTAGTAGACTTCTGCTTTATTACGATGCAGAATGCGGGACACGAGAGGATTCCATCCCTCCTCCAAGGGGATAAGATTTTGGCCTCCAACCATCCCTAAGAGGCAAAATGTTTTTGCCTGCAGTCTTAGTTGCAGAACTGTTTTCTGCCCGATTGCCCAGAAGCTGAAGGCCTTGGCTCCCGTGATCAACACTTTAGGGAAATACGCAATGTTTCCATGTCTGTCCCCACCTCCACCCTTGATAGCCAATCACCACCTACAGCCCACACCGCCAAATGCACAGCCCTTTGTTCTCTCATGCCCCATGGTTCCCGTGAACATTCAGTAGAGATCCCTAAAGACCAGCTTGCCTGTGAGCACAGTTTCCTATGAGAAGCATTCTGATCTGCTGTTTTTCTCTGAGCTTTTACAGGAAATAGTTCTATGAATGTACTACACTTCTAGAATGGTAGAAATCTGTTGCTTTGGTGTTTGTTTGTTTATGTTCTCATGTCCATCTGCCTAAGAATAGAGAAAAGAGAAGGGTCGTAATATCAGAAACTCCTGCCTGGTTTGTGTCATAAATGGCTTCACCTGTTTCTCTGTTCTAGGAAATACTCAGCTTGATTTTTTCTCTTTTAATTTCAGCACCAACAGAGCCAAGGCCTTGGGAGCAGCAGTGCTACCACGGTAATGGACAGAGTTATCGAGGCACATACTTCACCACTGTCACAGGAAGAACCTGCCAAGCTTGGTCATCTATGACGCCACATCAGCACAGTAGGACCCCAGAAAAGTACCCAAATGCATACGTCTTTGTTCTTTACCATAAGAGAAGGAAGGGCCAACTGAAGTTTCTATTAGAAGAGTCATGTTTCGAGCTGACTGCTCAAGACTCAACTTGTGTCAGATGCAAAGGGCATAGCAAAATGTCTCAGGAACATTGCCTTGGAGCAAAGAGTCTGAGAGAAGAGAAATATTAGGCTGGCTCTCCTTCCTCCTAGTTTTATGGAGCAGGAGGATATCTGGAGGCGAGGAGATCACATTAAGGAAAAAGTCAGGACCACAAACGACCAAACACTTAGAGTACCTTTCCACACCACCCACTGAGGGCCAATGCAGCCTTTCCACCTTGGAATACTATCATTCTAACCTCCAATTCCTGAAGTGAAAGTTGTGTTGGCCTTTTCTGTCTTGGTTCAAGAGAAAAAAATATTTGCATATCTATGGAGAGGCAAATGTCTCTCTTTCTGTATCTACGTCTTTTCCAATGGGTAGAAACACACTTGGTCCTGAGCACCAGTGCTCTGACAAGATACAGGTTGCCAGCAAGGGAAGAGCAAAGGCAAGAAGGCAGATGAGAGTCAACAAAGAGGCAGATGCTGAAAATTAAGCCTGGTGGGTAGATGGTCAGAAGCCCTGGTCTGACCACCCTGTGTCCAGCCTCTCTGCTGTAAGTGGCTACCAAAGACATGGAAAAATGGTTTCTGCATGTTAGACAACAGACGGTAGAGGACCAAGAGAATTGTGAGAGGGGGAACAATGCGATCAACTCCATAAGTGCCCTCCCTGGCTGTCTTCTTGGAGACCCTTCCTGCACTGAAGAGCAGGGAGATGGAGCACATGTGGACTGTAGCTATCTTGCTGAATGGAGGAGAGAGACTGGAGTTTGGGATTACTCAGGTAGCTAGGATTTTTCTAGGCCTGCTAAGAATGAGAGCGGATGTGTGGAGGAAAGGAGCTCTGGGAATATGCATAGAAGTCTCCTCAAGTCATTGGCTAAACATGAAGCTGCTTGTGCACAGAAAAGGGCTCCACAGGAGAGTGGGGCCAAGGACATCTACTGAGCAACTACAAGGGGACAACTATGAGAAAACAGCATCTACAAGGAAACAGTGAGCTCAGTAAAGATGACAGTGCTCACATAGCACTAGCGGATATTAGAGTTCTAACCAGCCAGAGGAGAGAGAAGTCACTGAACATCTTGGGCATTCAGTAGAGACCCCAGAAAAGCCAGACTTTAAGGGTAGAATTAATATATTCCTAGAATAAAGGCAGCTCCAGACAAAACCTAGCTGAGCCTAAAGGCAAATCTCTTAAGCATCAAAAAGGTTTCCAAGTCAATTAACTGCCTGCTAGAGGAAAACACAACCCTCCTTAGAGGTAAACAGCAAAATCAAGTGGCTCAGCTATGCGGTATCGACAGTGTGAGTCCTAAATTTAAAAACTCCCTAAACATAGAAAGCGTTGGTTATGACCCACGACCAGGAGAAAAATCAGTCAATACAAATAGGCCCAGAAATGACAGGAATGATTAGAATGGCATAAAAATTGGACCTATCAGTGTGTTAACTGAGTTCTAGGATTTCAGAAAATATGAGTATGGAACCTAGCAGATGTAACATCAAGAGAAAGTAACAGTATAAAAGAGCAATATCAAATTAGAACTCTAGTGAAAGGTATGCCTTAAATCAAAAAAGTACTGGGTGGCCTCCTCATCCAGTTAGAAGTTTCAGAAGAAAAACTAACTGAAAGAAAATTTATAGAAACTACAGAAACAGCTACGCGTGCGCGCGCACATGCACACACACACACACAGACACTCACACATGCACAAGCTTACAAACACACACAAACACACTCACATCCACAAATCCTGAAAAGTGAAATCAACCAAGCCTCACAGACACAAAGGAAAATATAAAAAGGTTTCCTACCTGTGAGAAGCAAGGCACAGAAGGAGAGGAAGGTGATACTGAAACAATAACAAGTACCTGAAGCAAGAATGGCTGAAAACCTTCCTAATATGAAGAACGTTAAGTAATTACAGATTCAATAGGCTCAGTGGATCAGAAAGGGAATTTTCAAAAAGAAAACTGTATGAAGCACTTTGGTACATCACAGTTTGACTCTCAGAAGACAAAGATATAGTATCAAGAAATATCTTGTGAGAAACTGTAGGAAAAAGAGCTGTGTCTTGCTAGAGGAACGGTGATACAAATGGCTAATGTGTTCTCATCAGAAACATGGCAAACTGCAGGCAAAGGAATATCATTAAAATGATAAACAGGGAAAAGAAGAGATCAACCGAGAATGCTACATCCAGCTATACACTGCCTTGAAAATCATCAATGTTGTATAATTGCATTTTGTGCACCCCCCAAACAAGAAATCCGAAAGCTATGAGAATTTGGAATCAGCAGGCTTATGTCACAAAAGATGTGGCCCAAAGGGAATTACGTACAAGAAGAATAGTACAAGGTGGGAACTTTCTGCATCCCACGTATTGAAGAACCCAGCAAATGGCAAATGTAGATGTAAATGCAAAAATATTTTCTTGATCAAATTTCGTAATTGCCTTAAATTATATTTGACTGCTTGAAGCAAAATGACAGCAATATGTATTATTTTAGCATATTTGAAGTAAAAATTTGAAAATGTAGCATAAATCGTGTAGGGAATAAAGAATTATACCATTGTAAGTTTCTTGCCTTACCTATGATGGTACATAATAAAAGTTTGAAATATTTGGGTTCAAAGAGATATTGCAAATTCTAGAGTAATCACAAAATTGTGAACACTGAGGTATATTCTATGACAAGAATATTCCATATGTCAAAAAGAAGGCAGCCAAGGAAGAAAAATAAGTCAACTGCTCGGCTCTGAGCACATCCAAATGCTCAGAGAACAAGCTTCTTGAATGGAGGGTCTGTGCTTGAGACTAGGTCACATGTGTAGTCTCTTGAGAGAGAGTGTTGGATCCCCATGGCACATAATACATTTCCCGTTTTCACAGACAGCCACAGGTCATGAATGCGAGAATACTGAGAGGTTGGAGCAATGTTCCTGGGATTCATAAGGGGGAGCAAATGCTCCAAGATACACCCATCGCGGGTTACTCACCACCTTTGCCTCTTACTCCATTGTTTTCTGACTCCTCTGCGAATACATAGAGTAAGGGGGCTGGCCTGGGAATGGTGTCATGTTGGATGCCATTTCTTCCCTGAAGAAATATATTTTGATTCCAATTTACATGTTACTGTAGAGTCCTAAAGAAGGATATAAAGAAGTAGACAGATATCAATATATTATATATTTTTATGTGCATTAATAAAATCTAAGATGCACACTTAAAAAATCCACATCAGTTTTCTGGAGGAATGCAGTTGGCAGAAGGAGAAACATATTCTGATCTTTTTCCCTTTTTTTTTTTTTTTTGAGATGGAGTTTTGCTTGTGTTGCCCAGGCTGGAGTGCAATGGTGCGATCTCGGCTCACTGCAATCTCTGCCTCCTGGGCTCAAGGGATTCTCCTGCCTCAGCCTCCCAAGTAGCTGGAAATACAGGCACCCACCACCACTCCCAGCTTATTTTGTATTTTTACTAGAGACAGGGCTTCTCCGTATTGGTCAGGTTGGTCTCGAACTCCCGACCTCAGGTGATCTGCCTGCCTCAGCCTCCCAAAGTGCTGGGATTACAGGTGTGAGCCATCGCACCCAGCTCTAATTTTTTTCTTGTGTACGTTTATGCATGATCTCAGTTTTTAAATGGAGCATAGACTATTTTTGATTTTTTAAAATATACATTATAATCTATCTTGGAAATTTACACTCTTCTTTAGAACTTGAGGACCATTTTTGCCTTGGGAATATCATTTTACCTAAAATGGGAATATTCAAATGTCACTTTTTAACACTTTATTGTAACAAAATTTAGACAGTGCTGGGTGCCCCTGAATTTTTTACCATCTCTTGTAACCTGTATTGTTCTGGAATTTGCAGTGGCCTGACCAGGAACTACTGCAGGAATCCAGATTCTGGGAAACAACCCTGGTGTTACACAACTGATCCGTGTGTGAGGTGGGAGTACTGCAACCTGACACAATGCTCAGAAACAGAATCAGTGTCCTAGAGACTCCCACTGTTGTTCCAGTTCCAAGCATGGAGGCTCATTCTGAAGCAGGTAAGAAGTCTGTGGCCAGACATCTACACATTTGAACATTGGGATGAAAAGATTTAAAATCTGACAGATGCAGAAGCCTTCCATGCTACTGAGAAACTTGATGGTTGGTTGAGGTTATGCCGTGCATAAGGAAGCCTCAGCACCCTCTCTGCTCTAGCAAGAGGTGTAATTTTTGGTGCAATGCTAGTCAATGGTGTCTTTAGGAAGGGTGCAACCCTCCAGGGCGCTTGACTTACCACTCATCTTGTTAAGTGAGTTATCTTGGTGTCCTAGACAAAATTCCAGTTCTAACGTCCGGCCAAATTTGTGCCAATTTTCACACCAGTGAGTGTTTCCAGGCCTTTCGTAAAATGGGCAGTGTTCATTGCAATCATTGCATTGTGGTTGCTGAGGTATGTGGCCGCTGAGTTTGTCATCCTGGAGAAACCTAATATGATGACATTTATTCCATCTAATCCTGGGGCTATTTGACACTACATAACCACAGAATGCATTATTTCTCTGGCTTATCTTAGTCTTAGGTAGGCTCTGCACACCTATGCTTGGAAGGCAGGAATTTCTTGGTGTTCTTGCGCCTTCTTCTCGTGGAACGTGCATCTTTGGTGTGTGTTGAGAGGAAAGGTAGTAGACTTCTGCTTTGTTGCAATGCAGGGTGCTGGAACAAGAGGATTCCCTGTCTCTCCTGTAAGGGAATAAGATTTTAGTCTCCATCCTTCTCTAAGAAGCAATGTGTCTTTGCCTGCAAGTACTAGATGCAGGACCATGAACTGCCCCGTCCACCAGAAGCTTAAGGCTTTGGCTTTTCAGGAGCAATGGTCTAGGGAAATGTGCAAGGTTTTCCTGTCTGTCCCCCACTGACAGCCAATCACCCAACAGCCTGCATGGCCTAATCCATCACTGTCTGGTTTCCTGCCTTGTTGTTCTCATGAACAATCAGTAGAGAGCCACACAAAAGAGCTTGCACATGAGTCTTAGTTGCAATTGTAAGAACACTGATAGGTCCTTTCCCCACCAGATTTTGAATATAACATTTCTAAGAACTTATTAAAATATTAGAATGCTATTAATCTATTGTTTTTGCTTCAGCATGTCCTTCTGCTTGCGAGTATTCTGAAGAGAACAGTCATAATTCTGAAACTACTGTCCTGTTTGTGTCATAAATTGCTTCACATGTTTCTGCGTACTAGTAATTACTGAGCTTGATTTTGACTATTTTCAGCACCAACTGAGCAAACCCCTGTGGTCCGGCAGTGCTACCATGGTAATGGACAGAGTTATCAAGGCACATTCTCCACCACTGTCACAGGAAGGACATGTCAATCTTGGTCATCCATGACACCACACCGGCATCAGAGGACCCCAGAAAACTACCCAAATGAGTATGTCTTTGATGTTACTTGTAAGAGGAGCAACAGCCAACTTAAGTTCCTCCTAGAAGAGCCTTGCTTCAAGCTAACTTGTTAGGACAAATTTCCCTTAGACCCAGAAGGTGTGTCAAAATGTCCAAACAACTTTGCTTTTGATCAAAGAGTCTGAGAGAATAGGTATTTTAGGCTTGCTATCTTTTCTAATAGTCTGATGGAAGCAGAAGGCTACATGGAGCTGATGAGGTCTTTTTAATATAAAGCTCAGGAGAACAAACGATCAAATAGAGTGCCATTCTACAAGGCTCATAAAAGATCAATGCAGTCTTTCACCCATGCAATTCTATCATTCTAACCTCCCTTCCCTGAAGTGAAGGTTGGGTTTGCCATTTTTGTCATGGGTCACAAGTAAATAATTCACATGTGTGTGCATATATATAGAACCAGGTGTGTTCATACAGACTAGTATTCATATATATGTGCTCATATAGGTTGGTATTCATATATGTGTTCATACAGGCAAGTATTCATATATGGTCTAGGGAAATGTGCAAGGTTTTCATGTCTGTCCCTGACTGATGACCAATCACCCTATAGTCTGCACAGCTGCAGGCTATATAGCTATACAATCTGCAGGACACACACACACACACACACACACATAATATAACTATGTGTGTGTGTGTATATATATATATAGTTATATATAGTTATATATATACACCTGTGTGAACACACTGGGTTCTAAGCTCCAGTTTTCTGAAGGGATATGGGTTGCCAGGACAGGAAGAGCAAAAGCAAGAACGTAGATGAGAGTCAGTCAGGAAGTAAACAGATGTACAGATTAAAACGGGCCGGTACATGGACAAAAAACCTGGTCTGACAAAAACTGGCTTTCTGCCATAAAAGACTACAAAAGATATACAAAAAAACTTTCCACATGTTGGACAAGAGACAGTACAGGACTGAGATAATTTAGAAAAGGAAATGAATGAGCGCAACTCCATAACTATTATGACTTTCTTCCTGGAGAACCTTCCTGGACTGAAGGGCAAGGAATTGGAGCCAAAGCCAACCACAGCAGTCTTGCTGAACTGAGGAAAGAGACTGGAGTTTGGGATAGCTAAGAAAATGTGTATTTTCTATGCTAGGTAATAATGAGAAAGAATTTGTGGTGAAAAGGAGCTGAAGGAATATGCATGGAAGTCTAATATAAACTGCATATGCACAGGGAGAAATTCTACAAAGTGGGACAGAGAACCACTACTGGGGAAAGGACAAATTCAGGGAAACAGTGAGCTCAATGGTGACGCCAGAGCTCACGTAGCACTGGGGGATACTGGGGTTCTGATCAGCCTAAGGAGAGACACCTCATTGAACATCTCGGGCATTCAGTAGAGACCCCAGGAAAGTCATACTTTAGGAGCAGGATTTATGCCTTCTTAGAATAAAGGCTACTCCAGAAATACCTTAGCAAAACTTAAAAACCAAGTCTAAAAGGATCCAAATAATCTCCAAGTAAATTAACTGCCTGACAGAAGGAAACTCAACCATCACTGGAGGTAAATAACTGGATCATGGTACTCCGTAATGTGACATTCACAATGAGTGACATAAATTTTAAAATTTAATAGGCAAAAAAAGCAACCATAACTGGGAGAAAAATCAGTCAATACAAATAGACCAACAAATAATAAAGACAATGGAATTGGTAAAGAAATTCAAACTGTGTATATATGATAATTGTGTTCAAAGATTTAAAGAAAACATGGACATAAGAGAAACAAGTGCAGAATACCAAGAAAAAAGCAACATATAAAACAACCAAATGGAAAGTAAAGAACTACAAAAAAGTACGTCCTTAATAAAAAATTCACTGGGTGGTCTTACTCTGAGTTTATACATTGCAGAAGAAAAAGTGAACTAGAAAATAATGCAATGAAAGTCATACAAACAGTCACAGAAGAACAGGAAAGAGATATTGGGACAGAAAAAAATAATGAAAGCAATGACGGCTGAAGACTTTACAAATATGAAGAAAATTATATACTCACAGTTAAGAAGCTCAACTAATCAGAAATAGAATTCTTAAAAGCAAAAATTTATGATTTACTTGGGTATATCATGGTTAAATTGTCCAACATCAAAGATAACCAGGGTAATCTTATTATAAGCTAGAGGGGAAAAAAGATCATTTACATAGAGGAACAGTGATGCAAATGACTTATGCCTTCTTCTCAGAAACAATGAAATAACATCTTTAAAGTGATTAGAAAGAAAAAAAATCAGATCAACCTAGGACAACATGTCCAGGAAAAAAAAAAAAACCTTGAAAATAAATGTGATGTAAATACGTATTCTGCCACCTCCAGAGGAAACAACCAAAAACCAAAAGAATGTTTCCACAGCAGGCTTCTGTAATAAAAGATGTTAAAGAAAGCCAATTAGGTAGAAGAAAAATAATACCAGATGGAAACTTTAATCCATACTAAGCAATGAACAGCCCTGGAAATGGCAAATGTCAATGTCAATATAAAATACTTTTTTTTAATTTAAAGGACAATTTGTGATGTGAATTAATAAGAATATATTGTAACATATGTAAAAGTAAAATTTATTTTAAAAAAGTGGCATAAATAATGTAGAAGATAAATGGAAATATACTGTTATAAGCTTTTTGCATTACCCATGAAGTTATATAATATTAATACATGGTTGAATGTGATAGTTTAAGGTGAGATATCATAACTCCTAGGAAAACCACAAAAACTTAAACTGAGAGGAATGGATAATAAGAGGAATAGTTCACTTGTCCAAAAGAAGGAAGCAAAGGAGGAATAAAGGATAAAAATGATATGGTGTACACAGAAAATTCATGGCATTGTGGTAGATATAAACTGAACCACCTTATGACCACCTTATGAGTATATTAAATATAAAATGATTAAACACTACAAATAAAAGGCAGAGACTGTAAATTGAATAAAAACTGCAGCCTAATTGTGTTCTTTTTATAATAAATGCCCTTTCAGTGTAAAGACCTACAAACAGCAAAATATGAAAAATGATATATACCATGAAAACCTGAATCATAAATAAACTGGAGTGGTAATATTTATAACAGACAAAGTTGATTTCAGGACAAGAAATAATACAAAAACAAAAAGGACACTTCATAAGAAAAAGGGTCCAGTCACGAAGACATAACAATGCTCAATGTGTTGCACCTAATAACAGCAATTGTGAAATATGAAGCAAAACTTTAGAACTTAGTTCTTGACAGAACTAAAGAGAGAAATAGATAAGTCCACAATTAGAGATGGAAATTTCTTCATTTTTCTCTTACTATTGTTATAAATCTTCCAAAAACAAAATGTAAAAGAACACATTCATACAAAATCAGAAAAAATATATAAGATTTAAAGTAAAACATCAACCTATTTAATACTATGCCAAACTACAAAATACACATTCAAATGTGCATGGAACATGCATCAAGGTATACCATATATGTGGCCTTACAAAAGTTTCAATAAATTTTCAAGAATTACATTGATACATAGTATGTTTTCTGAACACAACAGAAAGAAATAAGATATAAATAACCAAAACATTGGGAAATTGCTGAATATTTGGTAATAAAACAACACATTTCTAAATGTTCCATGAGTCAAAGAAGAAATCTCCAAGGAACTTGGAAAAGTTTTGACCTGAATAATAATAATAATAATTCAGTATACTCAAACTTGTGGGAAACAGTTAATGTCTTTATACATTTACAACTTTAAATGCTCTTAGTAGACAATAGAAACATTTAAAAATCAATGATTTGAGATAGCAATTCTCAAAGCAGAAACTTGGGGACTCATGAGATCCCCTCGGAGAATCTAGGGAGATAAAATATTTTTAATTAAGAAACATTTTTTATTGGCCCTTTTCACTTTCATTTTCTGACAAAGGTACAGTGAAACTTTCCAGCAGCTACATAATGTGTAGTGGAATCATCTCTCTAATGGCTAGGAAAATGTATGATTGTCTATATTATGGTTCAAAAAATTCTCTGTTTCGGTTTCGATTGCAACAATATATTTGCATATTTGTATATATTACAAAAACTAAAGCTCTTTGGGATCCCCAATACTTTTTAAGAATGCAGAGTGATCCTAAAAATAAAAATATTGGGAATTGTTCATCTAAGAAAGCAATTTAAAAATCTAGAGAAGAATACTGTCTATAGTAAACATAAACACAAAAATACTTAATAAAATATTGAGGTATTGGATCTAGCAATATATAAAAAGCAAATAAGACCCAAGGTAAGTGAAAGAAAGGAAATGATTAAAAAAATGAAATTCAATGTAAAAATAATAAACAGTTGAGTAAATCTGTGCAACAGAAAGTTGGTTCCTTGAAAATATCCTTACGATTGATAAACCTCTGGCTAAACTGATGACAAACAAAGAAGGGAGAACAACCACCACCATCAGGAATAAAAGAGAAGAGGAGTTATCACTACAGAATGCTACAGGTATTAAAGATAATAAGAAAATACTCAGAACAACTTATGTTAACAAATCCAGTACCTTAGATAATGTGGACTGATTCCTTAGGAAGAAAACAAATATGCAGGTCAGACACTGAATAAGTTGAATTGCTAAACAGTGTGATACCTATTCAAGACTACGTATGTTTATATTCCTTAATAATACATATTTTAAAAAATCAAAACACTTCCACAGAGAAATCTCTAGGCCCAGATGGCTTCATTAGAAATTTTGTTATTTATGGAAGAAATAATTCCAATTTTTCACAGTATGTTACAGAAAATAGAGATGAAGGGAATACTTCTTAACTCAGTTTGTGAGAACAAAAAAACCCAGTTAAAAAAGTACACAGGATATTGAAAAAAAAACTGCAGAATACTGTCTATAGTGAATAAACACAAAAAGACTTAATAAAATATTGGGATATTAAATCCAGCAATATTAAAATGTATTTTTATCATTAATGTGATGAATATCACAAAAAAACTGGAGCTTCCCTTTGAGAATGCAAGGTTGATTTAACATTTGCAAAACAAACAATGTAATCCAACATAATAACAGAATAAAAGTGATAAATCACATGATATCCATAGATGCAGAAGGAAATATGAGAAAATTCAACACTCTTTCATAATAAAATGTCTCAGCAAACTAGAAACAGAATGGTACTCCTTTAACCTCATAAAGGGCATCTGTGTAAAACCTCCATCAAACATCATGTTAATGGTGAAATATTATTGTTTTTTAAGATTGGGAATAAGAAAGATGTTTGCTCTCAATACTTCTCATCACCACTTCACTACAATGGTCACAGCCTTTGCACCAAGACCCAAAAATGAAAACAAAAAGAAAGAATGAAAAACCAGAAGGAAAACCTGATTAATGGATGCAGACAGTCCTAAAAAATATACACATGCTCTGTGTATAACAGTTAATTGGTATTCTGTATACTTTCTATGATCATTTGGAAAAATAAATGTTTTAAAGCAATATCACTGACAATGTTATCAAAACCAAAAAATATTTAATGATAAATTTAACAAACTATGCACAAGGACTATACAGCTTGCACTAGAAAACGTTGTCAAGGAAAGAATTAAAAGATCTAAATAAAGATACACCATGCTTATAGATTGAAAGGCTCAATATCACTTCTCATCAAATTGATCTTTGGATTAAACTCTCACCCAAACACTATTGCTGCAGTCCTTTTTTGGAAAAAATGTGGAGGACTTACATACCTTAATATAAAGACTTATAAAGGTACAAGAATCAAGACGTGGTATTGGCCAGGACCCTTGGCTCATGCTTGTAACCCCAACACTTTGGGAGGCTGAGGCAGGAGGATGGCTTGAGCCCAGGTGTTCAAGACCAGCCTCAGCAACAGAGCGAGACCCTCTCTCCACAAAAAAAAATGAACCATTAGATGGGTGTGATGAGTCACACCTGTAGTTCCAGCCACTCAGGACACTGAGGGGAGAGGATCACTTGACCCAGGAGGTCTAGGCATGAGTGAACCTTGATCATGCCACTACATTATAGCCTGGATGACAGAATGATACCCTATCTCAAAAAATAAAAAGATATGCGTTATTGGCAAAAAAGTATGCAAAACTAAAAAGGGATGGTCCAGCACCAGACCCACATACATATGGTCAATTGATTTTCTATATAGATGACAAAGCAATTAAATGGAGACAATAATCTTTTACAAAAATCATTCTGAACCATTTGGATATCCATGATAGAAAACAAAAACAGACCTTGACTTTTACTTTTCATCTCAAATTAATTTGAGATATCTCTTCCACCTAAGTGTCAGAGCTAAAACTGAAACTGAAATATGAAAGTTCCAAGAGAAAATATAAAATCTTCACAACCTTGGAGAAGGCAATTTTTTTTGACAGAGGAGTCATTAACACTAACTATAAAAGAAAACAAATTATGATGTGGGCTTTCATAAAATGAAAACTCATGCCCACCAAAAGTCATTTTTAAGAAAATAAATAAGCAAATAACACATGAGAAGAAAAATGCTCTCTTTCTATCTATCTGACAAATGGCTTGTGTCCAGAGTATAGAAACATTTCTCCCACTTGCTAAACAGGGGACAAACAACTTAATCAAAAAAGGCAACAGATTGAATAGGCATTTCTCAGGGATGGATACACACAAAACCAATAAGCACTTGAAAAAATGTCCAATATCTCAGCCATGAAAAATAAAGAATTATAACCATCATGAGATGTCACCAAACACCCAGTGGACATGGATATTATTAAGAAGACACCACAGTAACTGATGTCACTGATGTAGAGCAAGGATATGCAACTCTCTCGTATGTTGGTGGAAGTGCAAAATGATAAAACCACTTTGGAAATCAGTCTGATGATTTCTCCAAAAGTTCAATAAAGACACATCTACTCTACAAATCTGCAATTCTATTCCTGAATATTTACCCAACAGAAATGAAAACATAATTCCACAAAGAGATCTACAAGAATATTCATAGCAGCTTTATTTTTTATACCCCAAACTGTAGGCAACTACAGTGTCAATCAATAAGAAAATGAATAAATAATTTGCGATCTATTCATACAATGGCATACTATTCAGCAATAAAAGGGAGCACATTAATGATACTCTCAAATAGCATGGATGAAGCTCAAAAATATTACATTAAGGAAAGATGTCAGATAACACAAATGAACATTATATATGAGTCCATTGATATAAGGTTCCAGAAAGGCAAAAATAATTTCTCTTGAAGGAAACCAGTATCATTTGCCTCTGGCCATGGGAAGAAATTAGCAGAGATTGATTTTGCCGTAAAACAAAAGTTGTTTCTGGGGTGATGTAAATGTTCTGTGTCACGATCGTAACTTGCGAGTTACACAAGTGTACATGTTCATCAAAATTCATCAAACTACATCTAAGATCTGTGCATTTGACTATACATGAAAGTGTACCTCAGTTGAAAATAGATAAAAAAATCTCCTTCGAATACCACACTTGCTAACATATCCAGTTGCTTGGAGAACCAGCCTCCTGTAGCTGGGAGTCTGGGCTTGAGACTGGGTCACATGTGTAGAGTCTCTACAGAGATAGTGTTGCATTCCCATGGTACATAATACATTTCAAGTTTTCTCAGACAGCCACAGGCCATGAATGTGAGGATTCTGAGAGGTTGAAGCAACATTCCTGGGAGGAACGAAGGGGAGCACATTCTCCAAGATGCCCCCAACCCTGGGGTCCTCACCTGCTGTGCCTCTTATTCAATTTTTTTTCTGCCTCCTCCATAGTCAATTGACCTCTTCAGATCCCATAGTCTAGCCAGCCATCTCCCTTTATGCCTTGGGTCCCACTGTTCCTTCATCTCATCCCCCATTCCCTCAGTCCCGGAGTGGCTGCAGCCAGCAGAGGATGGACTGAGAGCAAGAGAGGAGGTCCTGCCCAGGAACCCATCCTAGAGAAACAGCATCCTGCCTGGGAGCTAGTCTTCCAGTTCAGCTTTTATAAGTCTTGTAGACTCAAACCCACTTGACCCACCTGAAATGGTATTGACAGTAATACTATTTTCATGGTTGTTTTTCATTGTAAATGCAGAGCCTTTTAGCTACACAACGAGTACAGAGAGTAAGGGGGCTGGCCTGGGAATGATATCATCTTGGATGGCATTTCCTCCTTGGAGAAATATATGTTAGTTCCAACTCACATATTAATATACAATCCTATAGAGAGAGATACAGAGAGCTAGAGAGACATAGGTGTATTTGTATGTGCATAAAAAATCTATAAGACACACTTCAAAATCTATACCGGTTCCTCCAGAGGTATGTGTTTGGCAGAAGGTAGAAGGAGGGTATTCTGGTCCTTTCTTAAGCACATTTATATATGATCTCAGTTTTTATATGGAGCATTGATAGGGTTTGGCTATGTCCCCACCCAAAATCTCATCTTGACTTGTAATCTCTATAATCCTGATAATCCCCATGTGTCAAGGGCAGGACCAGGTGGAGGTAACTGGATCATGGGGGCAGTTTCTCCCAGGCTGTTCTCATGACAGTGAGAGAGTCTCCTGAGGTCTGATGGTTTTGTAAGTGTCTGGCATTTCCCCTGCTTCCACTTACTCTGTCCTGCCGCCTGTGAAGAAGGTGCCTGCTTTTCCCTTGCCTTCTGCCATGATTGTAAATTTCCAGAGGCCACCCCAGCAATGTGGAACTGTGAGTCAATTAAAACATTTTTCTTTGTAAGTTACCCAGTCTGTCTCGGGTATTTCCTCATAGCAATGTGAGAGCGGACTAATACAAGCATATACTACTTTTGATATTTTAAAATAAAAATTAGAATCTATCTTTTAAGGGTATGCAGTGGGTTAGAAATTGAGGACCCAGCCGGGAGCAGTGGCTCACGCCTGTAATCCCAGCATTTTGGGAGGCCGAGGCAAGCGATCACCTGAGGTTGGTAGTTCGAGAACAGGCTGACCAACATGGAGAAACCCCGTCTCTACTGAAAATATAAAATTAGCCAGGCATGGTGGTGCATGCCTGTAATCCCAGCTACTTGGGAGGCTGAGGCAGGAGAATCACTTGAACCCAGGAGGCGGAGGTTGCAGTGAGCCGAGATCGTGCCATTGCACTCCAGCCTGGACAACCAGAGCAAAACTCTGTCTCAAAAAAAAAAAAAAAAAAAAAATTAAAAAAAATTAAAAAAAGAAAAGAAATTGAGGACCTTTTTTGTTGTAGTAATTGTATGGTACCCTTAATGGGAATATTTCAAAGTCACTTGTTAAGGCTTTGTTAGAACAAAATGTAGAGGGTGCTGGGTGCCCCTGAATATTCTTCCGCCTCCTGTAACCTGTATTGCTTTGGAATTTCCAGTGGCCTGACAATGAACTACTGCAGGAATCCAGATGCCGATACAGGCCCTTGGTGTTTTACCACAGACCCCAGCGTCAGGTGGGAGTACTGCAACCTGACGCGATGCTCAGACAGAAGGGACTGTGGTCGCTCCTCCGACTGTTATCCAGGTTCCAAGCCTAGAGGCTCCTTCCGAACAAGTAAAAAGTCTGTATCCAGACATCTATGTGCTTGGACAACGGGATGAAAAGACATGAAAAACCACACTGATGCAGAAGCCTTTAGTGCTGCACGGGAGCTCGAGTGTTGGTTGAGGGTCTGCCATGACCAAGGAAGCCTCAATGCCGTCCCTGGGAAAGCCAGAGCTGTGATTTTTGGCACAACTTGCGAGTGTAGTGACTTTAGGACTGGCGCAAAACCTCCAGGGTGCTCAACTTAACCACTCACCTTGTTCTAAAATAGGTTATTTCAGTGTCCCAGTCAAATTCCTATTCTAACATGCTGTCAACTATGTGATTCTTTCCAAGCCAATAAACATTTCCAGTAATTTCTTAAAATAGTGTTCATGGCAGTCTTCAGCAGTGGCTTCTGACTAATGTGGCCCCTGATTCCGTCGTCCTAGAGAAACCTGACATGACTGCATTGATTCCATATTGTCCTGGGTCTATGTGGCTGTGCATATCATCTGCTTTTTGTTTTTGTTTTCGTTTTTTTTTTCTACAGACTCTATGTTTGGGAATGGGAAAGGATACCGGGGCAAGAAGGCAACCACTGTTACTGGGACGCCACGCCAAGAATGGACTGCCCAAGAGCCCCATAGACACAGCAGGTTCACTCCAGGGACAAGTCCACGGGCAGGTCTGGAAAAAAATGTAGGGACATGGATGAAGCTGGAAACCATCATCCTCAGCAAACTATCGCAAGGACAAAAAACCAAACACCGCATGTTGTCACTCAGGTGGGAATTGAACGAAAACACATGGACACAGGAAGGGGAACATCACACCCAGGGCCTGTTGTGGGGTGGGGGGAGGGGGGAGGATAGCATTAGGAGATATACCTAATGTTAAATGACGAGTTAATGGGTGCAGCACACCAACATGGCACATGTATACATATGTAACAAACCTGCACGTTGTGCACATGGACCCTGAAACTTAAAGTATAATAAAAAAAAATGTAAGCCACTTTGATTTGGACTCTTTTTCCCTTTGCTGACACATCTTTTCAAACAGAGGATGGGCAGAGGAAAATACTGGAAAGACTTCAGGAGGCTAAGCGTAATTGGCCTTAGCATGGAAAGTGTAAGCAGCACAGGCCAGCAAAGCCCCACGCGTGTGGGGATTCTCAGGCCTCTTCTCTTTTGTGACATTTCTTTACTGTTTCCATTGTTGGGTGCTGTTTCTCATTTCTAGTCCTTGTCCTCTAGGCCAGGGGTTCCCACTCCAGTACTGGTACTGGTACTGGTACTGGTCCCGATCCTGGTCTGTGGTCTGTTAGGAACTGGGCTGCACAGCAGGAGGTGAGCAGCAGGTAAGTGAGCAAAGCTTCATCTGTATTTTCTGCTGCTCCCCATCACTCTCATAGCCACCTGAGCTCCACCAACTGTCAGATCAGTGGCAGCATTAGATTCCCATAGCACAAACCCTATTGTGAACTGCACATGCCAGGAATCTAGGTTGCACACTCCTTATGAGAATCTAATGCCTGATGATCTGTCACTGTCTCCCATCATCCCAAGATGGGACCATCTAGTTGCAGGAAAATGAGCTCAGGCCTCCCACTGATTTTACATTATGGTGAGTTGCACAATTATTTCGGTATATATTGCAATGTAATTTTAATAGAAATAAAGTACACTGTAAATGGAATGTTCTTGAATCATCCTGAAACCAATGCCCCCTCACCCTGGGTCCATAGAAAAATTGCCTTGTATGAAACCAGTCTCTGGTGCCAAAAAGGTTGGGGACCATTGCTCTAGGTTCTAGTGGTCAAAGACGTCCTTTATGATGCTTGAGTCAGATTTTTCTAGAAAAGATTGGGATGGGCCATCAAGGGGCAGTGGGACTTCTCCTAGTCTCATGCATTCTCTGGGATGGTTTACTTTGGGGCCTGTGTATAGGGAAGACTGAGATATAGGAAAAACCCAAGTGTCTGTGTTCCCCCACTCTCACACCCATGTAACATAACACTTCTCACACCAGATGTGGGGGGATTTCTCCTCATACCCCAAGTGAGTCTCCAGCAGATACCAGCTGGGTGTCCTACAATGTAACTCAGTCCTGACACTCTATCTGGAGACAGTGTCAGATCCCACAAGTTAAGGTTCAGTCCCACAAGACCGCCCCACTGCAGATGCCAATCCCAAGTTCCAGGCTGTGACCTGTACTGGACAAATTCTGTTTTTCTACATGACCCTCCGTGGATTTGATTACTTTCCTGGAGTGGCTCACAGAACTCAGGGGAACACGTTACTTTTATTTACCCATTTATTGTAAAAGATATTGCAAAGGATCCTGGTGAACAGCTAGACGGAAGAGATGCACAGGGCAAGACACATGGAAAGGAGCTCAGAGCTTCTGTGCCCTCTCTAGTGCACCACCCCCAGGTACCCCAAGGGTTCAGCAACCCAGAAGCTCTCCAAGTGCAGTCTTGTTGGGTTTTTGTGGAGGCTTCATTACAGAGGCACAGTTAATTACATCATTGGCCATCGGTGATCAGCTCAACTTCAGCCCCTCTTCCCTCCCTGGAGGTTGGAGGGTGGGGCTGACTGGTTCCAACACTCAAATCACATGGTTGGTTCCCTTGGCAACCAGCCCCGGAGGCTATCCAGGAACCCACCAAGAGTTGCTTCATTGCAGCTCCCTTCACCCAGGAAACTCCAAGGGATTTAGGAGCTCTGTTAGGAACTGGGGGGCAGAGACCCAATATACATTTCTTATTCTATCTCAGTATCACAGGAAGGGAAGGATGACACTGCCTTTGTGTGTCTCGCCCGTGGAGGGTGCATGATGCATGGAAGTAAGTGTTTCTGACTCAACAGCTAACAGGCTTTATCAGGTAGAAGAGCCCTGAGCCCCCAAGGGACAAAGCTCATCAATGATGTTCCACTGTTCTCTGGGGCTCTGGCTCTAAGACCTCCACTGGGTCGGGTTTCTGGAGAAGAGGCCCATTCTCCAAAGACCCTTCAGGGTCACCACCCCTTTGGTCAGGGTGTGGCCTCATAGCTTCTTTTGAACTGGAACACATGACTGATGGCTTTAGAGCATACAAAAAATAAGTTTGCGAAAAATATCTTAATAATAATAGAAAGAAAGGAAGAAGAAACACTCCTTTATGTCTCTAAGAATAGATGTGAAACATGTGTGCCTTGGAACACCTTCTCCCTCTCTTGCCCCACGTGAGCTGGAGCTTACATGCCTGCTTGTTTTCAGTACTGCCGTAACCCTGATGGTGACATCAATGGTCCCTGGTGCTACAGAGTGAATCCAAGAAAACTTTTTGACTACTGTGATATCCCTCTCTGTGGTAAGTTGCCTTCTGTTTTGGTAAGGAAACTGCTTCCTTCATATGGATTTGCAAAAAAAAAAAAAAAAAAAAAAACCAGAAAATGGCTTTTGAGCTGAGTGCTTCTGGGGAGGAGATGGCTGCCCTCTCCACCAGAGCCTGCCCTTCGTCATGGGCATCTTGAACCTGCCCTACAATTGGCCCCATTTGTTAGGGAAACACCCGCCCCTCCCACCACACACACATAAATAAAATAAATGTAAAATTCCCAAAGAGCACACTTAGAGGTGATCTAATCAGCCCCAGGGTGGTCCCACTGAGCACTTCAGTGTCTAGCATGGGATGCATGAAAAAGAAATTTACAGTCATTCGGATAAAAAACCTTTCTCTTCTGCAGCTGAGAAGTATGAAAAATATACGAACAGCAGGGCACAGCTAAGCATGTGGTGCACATTGTAAACCTACAGATGGCCATCCTAGGAATTCAGTGAAGGGTAGTGCAGCTCTTTAGCCCCAAATGGCCTTTCTCCTAAGATTATTCCTCACGATTCAC
Source organism: Homo sapiens (assembly GCF_000001405.40). Taxonomy (NCBI): domain Eukaryota; kingdom Metazoa; phylum Chordata; class Mammalia; order Primates; family Hominidae; genus Homo; species Homo sapiens. Next base: position 160,463,680 of record NC_000006.12, on the reverse strand, counting down.
ATTAGCATCATTGCTTAGAGACTGTTTGTTGGGTTCCCTCTTCATTGCTCCAAGACTCTTGTTGGGAGTATGAGGCTTGGATCAGGGTAAGTGGAGTTGACATTAGATCTTAAACAACTGGGATAACAAATCCATGGGTATTTCTGAAAAAACAAAAAGCCACTTGGACTTGTCCCCTATTTTACTTTCTGCTGACCAATCAACTTGTCTGTCCTAGTTACAGAAAGCTGTCCTGGACTTTTCATTTGTATAATTTGGTTGCTTGTGGTTGGGTCTGCCATGTGGAAGAACCTTGAGCTGGGGGAAGCAGCTTGGCCTCCAAGTCCACTGAAGACCACCATTCCAAGATTTCCTGGGGAGGCGGTACAGGGCAGTGATGAAGATTATGGGAGCCACACTGCCCAGCTTCGCATTTGGGACACTCCTGGGGAGAGCAAGAGGGAAGAATGAGAGGTTAGGGTGATAGTAAAGATTCTACTTGGCCAATATTATTGTATTGTGGCATTGTGGTCTCTGGATTTAGTGTGAGTTGATAGCTGACCTTTTCCTTGAGTGGGTGTTTTTGTTTGTTCTGCAGAAGCATCTTGGTGGCTCCTCTACCTGAAAGTCCCTCGATGGGGTCAGTTCCAGTTCTCCACTTCTGGCCCCGTCTGGTACATGCCACTGCCTCTCACTGCCTGGGCTCTCTATCCTTGACAGGCTGCCTTGAAGTTGAGCCCACACTGACTTTCTTGCCTCAGACCCCACTACTGTGCCTGGGACTCATGCACCTTTGACTCCTATGGTAGGAAAGTGCAGTAGCTTCCCAGGTGCATTTCTGCTGTCCTCACCCACATAAAGGTTGTATGAGAATCGAGTTCTTAAAGATTGGAGAAAGAAGGAAGAATGGGAGCAAGATTTTTCCCAATGGACTGTGAGGTCCCCCACCTAACCTTGATGTAAGACAAGTGAGGTTAACCCCAAGCCTTGTGAGAAGGGTTCCCATAAGACACTTGGAAATCCTCAGAACTGTTTCCTACAGAAGGATGTGGTTGGTGGGTTTGGTTTCCTGCAGAAGGATGTGGTTTATTCAGGTTTGACTCATGCTTGAGAAATCTAGAGACTCTGGTGGAGAATGATTTTAATAGCTAGTTCATTTCCACTAAGACATTCAGTATAAATAATAAGTAAAAATAAATAGAAACATTCAGTTTTATTTTAAATAGTAGGAGCAGGTACCATAATTTCTGTAGTTACTCTTTTAGTACAATGATGCATGTATACTGTGTGTAAGGCATATTAGCAGAAATTGAGTTCAGCACTAGGGAAGATGATTTCATTCCATGCAATGTTTCTTTAAAAAAAAAAAAGACTTATATAGATAGATTCTCAGAACAGCCCATGGCAAATGGACAGTTATTTGGAAAACTCAGGTTCCAAATTCACTGGAGTGTAGAATCTCTGGTTGGTTGGGGAGGAAATTCCTCTTGCAGTTGTTATTAATAATTATGTGAATATTATTAACTATATTAATGTTTATAATTTTGAAGACCTTGAAGGACTGGAGACAGAGAAGCATTTTTGAACACCCTCTGTAGCCTATGCACTGTTGTAGGCATTGATGGGTGGTACCAAAGATGGGACACTGTTCCTACCTCCAGAGATCTTGCAGGCTGGCTGCAGAGAGAAGGCAGAGAGGAGGTAAAAGAAAAATAAAGGCACATGTGTGTAAGTCACCCCAATGACAGTCAGTTAGTCATGGGAGGCTCCCCAGAGGAGCTGTCCTGAAGCTGGCTGAGAGAAGGCAACATTTCAACTTAGGACAGTAATCCTTGCTACATACAATCACACACACACATACACACACACACACACGTGCACACACAGACTCACATGCAAAAGAAACCTTCATGCCTTTCTGTAAACTTTATGTGGGTTAGATGGGGATGGTGATGAGGATGATGATGGGAAGGATGACATCATGTTCTAAACATTGTTCGGAATAACAATGACGAATAACTATTTGTGCCAATCAAGGTCTTCTCAGAAAAGATCTCATTCTAATGCTGAACTATACCAATTTCTTTGATCACTTCTCCAACAAAATAATTAGAAAGCGCTTATATTTCCTTGAAAGGAGAGCATCCTGTGTTGTTTACTACCACTTTTGAAACCTAGAAAAAAAATCTAAAAGTTGTTTATAATTTTACTGTTTAATTTCACCTTTGAAATATCAAAAACTCAGTGCTTGGAATTTGTCCTAAATTAATTGACAAAATTGCCAACTTGGACTCAAATGCGACTTCTTTCCCACCTTGTGCCACAGCATCCTCTTCATTTGATTGTGGGAAGCCTCAAGTGGAGCCAAAGAAATGTCCCAGAAGCATTGTAGGGGGTTGTGTGGCCCACCCACATTCCTGGCCCTGGCAAGTCAGTCTTACAACAAGGTAAGAACAGGCCCAGAAACCAACTATATTGTCCTTCCACACAAGCCCCACAAAATCCTTCTACATTTACACAGAACCCACACAGCTGAGGCATCAGTACCTGCCTCTATGTTTTCTGAAGGAGGAAAAAATATAGAAAAATAAAAATAATTATATTATTTTAGGTTCTCTACTTTGAAAATGGCCAAAATTGGAATCTTTTTCTTGATCTAAGTAGCTACATCAAAATCTGTAGGCGCAGTGATTTGCACCAAGTTCCGATATTGCTGGAAAATATTGAAGATGCTCTGAGGGTTTCTATGGATATCCATTGTCTCACTGTCAGATGAAAAGAGAGGGAAGTTTTTAGAAATGTGACACTTTGCAGTGAGGGAGGACAAGAGCAAACTTACCTACAGTCTGTCACAGGCACGATTTTTTTTTTACACTTTTGTGAATCATTGAATTCAATGCCGAGGCTACTCATCCATTCACAAACACAGGAAAAAATTATAGGTCATGATCCCCATAAATGAAGAGTAATCAGTCCAATCCCACAGAACCTGGACCTTTTGGGTATTGTTTCAGTGGAACATGCCTTTCATAAGTTCAGTTTTCTTGGGTATCTCTTAGGAAACACGCATAGGAAACAGGCCCAACCGCCTGCATGTTTTGCTTCCTTGGCTCACTTCTACATCAGGGTGCCTGTGCTCAATTACTGTTCTCCCCTAAAGAGCCTTCTTTTCACAGGTTTATGAAATGCCATCGACAAACCTGATCACATTGCATTTCACTCTGCCGTTGATTTGATTTTTCTTTACTTTATTGGTTAGAAACTCCTTGCTTTACAGAGCTTTCACCTTCCACATATTTCAGATTCATTCTTTCCTAAACTGCGTGGTGGTCTGTGTCCTCATGGATTTATCAAAGTGCTGCCAACATGCACTTTTTACCTGTACTCTTCATTACACTCTGGCTCCGAGTGGCTCACGCCAGTATTCTGAGCTATCACCTGCCTATGCAGTCCTAGAAAGCAAGTGATGTTCTGGGATGCTCTGACACTCTAGGAAGGAGAGAAGGGCCTTTCTGGCTCAGCCTAAACAGTAGCTGATCTCTCTCGTGCTCCCCAGTCTCCTCCCCACCATCCCAGCAAATGTGCAAATACAAGGTCTCCGCTCCTCATGGTCCTCAGAGAGCTAGGGTGTTCTGATGGCTTGAAAAAGCAATTTGGAAATTTTGAGTTTTGGAGGTATTCTCTGATAGGCTGATACATTTTGAGTTTAGAGTTCCCACCCCACATCCTCACACCCTAGAGTGCTCCACCAGGGAACCTGTAGACTGAGGACTTCTGCACCACAGATGTCTGTTGCCCAGAAGCAGAAAGTGTGTCTGCTTCAAAGTTGGTGGCAATGATGATTCTTTGTCAGAATAGGGCATTTCTCATATCCAGTCCTTTATCCCCTTGAACTTACTAAAGTAGAATCAGGTCTAAAAACCAGAGTTCTAATGTTTGAGAGTTCCTGGAACTCTAAGATATATAAATGTTCTTTGACAATGCCATTTTGTTCATGCAAGGTGCTTATTTCCAATCCTCTTTCATTTGATGTCTAGCATTTTACTGGATTCTTACAACCACGGTTTAGTAACATTCACAAGGAGGAAGTGGAGGATCCAGATGGAGCAACTTGCTCTGGGCACACAACACATTTGCAATTTTATACCCTCTTGATGATGTCTCGGCCAGACATTCTGCCCAGTCATCAATGCCCTCTTCAATTAATATGAAAGGACACACTTGGCATGAGATCCCAGTCGTGCACAGAATATACATGAGAAGTGCGCCTTTGTCATCCCTACTTTCAAAGGTGAAGGCCACCCTCAGCTTCTTGCATGCAACTCATGCCTTTCAAATGAAACCTTACATCTGTGTAGTCCATAGGCAACCACAGGCAAATGTGAGGGTGAAACGCTGTGTTCTACGTTGCTCTGTGTCATTGAAGCAAGGCAGTGCCAGCTCAGAGGGCTCTGGGGCCTCAAGGTAAGGATGCCTAGTTATAGGTACTGCAGCTCCCAGCTGGGCAGTCAAACATAACTGCTAATACTTCCCTTATAGGCCTGCCATCATCACTGACAGAGTAATCCCAGCCTGTCTGCCATCCCCAAATTACGTGGTCACCGCCTGGATTGAATGTTATGTCACTGGCTGGGGAGAAACCCAAGGTGAGATCAATTCCATTGCCCGTATAACAAATTGTTTTTGACCTACAGTGCATGTTACAAAATGAGCATTTTAGAGATCCTTGTACAAATTCCTATCCATGAACATTGTCCAACTCTCCTGACTTTGCCTGGGCACCTGTCTATGTCTCCATAATCAGTCTTCAAGGGATGTGGGCAAGGGGAGGGGGCCATTTCTTTGAGTCTCTCTCTTTTTTTGCTTTCAGAATCTTTTTTTAAATGATCGTATGTTTCCCTTACACCAAAAGCAAGCAAAAAGCCAGTAGAGGTCACTGAGTCTCTTAATCATAATTTCAGCGTTCATATTGCTTCCCAGGTAAGTGGGGTTTTGACCCAGATCTCAAGTTAAGGGTGTTAGATTATTTTTCATTTGAAATTCACCAGACTGGGTTTCTAAATATGATGTAAAACAATAACAACAAAAGTTATAGTTAAACTAGTCTTCTTCCCAAATACCCACATGTCTAACGTGTGTGGGAGGGTGTTAGGCAGGGGACCTACATCTGGGGAAGAGGCAGACAGGCCCCGTGGCCCCAAATCTAGGATGGCATTTGATATTGGTTGATGGGTGAGAGCAAGATAGGGAACACTTGTGCAGGATGTGGTGTCAGCACCTGTATTACATTTTAAGGATTCCTTCTCTTTGCAGTATGCTCTGACAATTATTATACCCATCAGCCTTACCCCCTTGGCAGTAGGAAAACTAAAACTCTTAATGTCTCAATTCCGCTTTCTCAGAGGTGCAGGTGAGGGCGTAGGGAGTCTGGGGCCCTGGAAAAGCGTTCTGACTCTGCCACTAGCCAGATAGACCTGAACTACACACGTTACCTCTTTGTATCACTTGGCTCTAATCCCTGTAAAACCAGCATTTTCAAATGGTGCTTTGCACATCAGCCTTTTGTATAAGCTTTCATTTAATGAAATGTCTTTTGGGTTTTTAAAAAACGTTAAAAACCACTGGCCTAGATAATTTCAAAGCTGGGTTCCCTATTTCTGTCTCTTTCCTATTATATTTAAAACCTCACCTCCTTGACTTCTTGTTCCCTTTTTCTGCACTGCTTAGTCTGGGAGCAGTGAGGCCAAATAAAAGGAAACTTGGCTTGAGGGACACCTATGGGTGTGCCAGGCTGCTCCTGGTGTTTGCATATTTTAAAATTTAAATACTAGAAACCTCTCCGCGTTAGGTATTGTTGTTTCCATTTTACCATTGAGGAAGCTGGGGCTCAGAGAAGGTGCAGGGTGGTACAGACAAACCTGAATTGGAACCCTGGCTCCCGCCTATGGGCTGTCGGGACTTAGAAAAGTCGTGAGCTCTCGCTGATTGTTTCCTAGCTGATGTGGGCTGCAGGGCTGTTACAGGGAAATAATAAGAAAGTGCATCAAGTGCCGAGCACATCCTAAGCACTCCACCATGGCAGCTCCTACTAATAATATGGAATAGAGTTGAATCTAACATGACTCTTTCTTGCAAGTGACAGAAAATCCAACTCAAATTGGATTAAGCAAAACAAGGCAAATTCTTAGTGAGCTGAAAAGTCTTCAGGCTCACATTAGGCCCCAGACCCCAGACCCTCCCAATCATGGAGTAGGCACTATTTGGGGCACAAAGGTGACACTCCCGTGGCTGCAGATGCTGTGGTGGCTCTGGCTCTGTTGAGAAAGAATAAGAAAGGCCACTCTCTCCCTTACATGAACAATAGTCTGTCCACTCTGAGAGACTGAAATTGGGTCATGGTCCTGCCCCTGAGCCCGTCACTGATTGGCTCTGACCTGCATCAGCTGTTCCATGCTGAAGGTGGAGGCAGGACCCCATTCATACCCAGAAGGGAGCAAAAGGTAGATCCCTCACCAGAATTATGGGATGTAGGGTGAAAGGCTGCTGGGCAGCCAGAAAACAAACAGATCCTCTACAATACTTCAACTGATGAAAGCATGAAGCTAAAATCATAAGGATCCGGGTGTGAGTTCTGTCTCTCCCATATTCCATGTGACGTTGGGCAGTTATTTAATCTCTTTTAGCCTCAGCTTTCTCATCTGTACTTACATATAAGGTCATTGTGAGGATTAGGGTTATTAATCATCGCCGTCATCCCCGTCCACCACTTATCATCATCCTCCCCATCAACATCATCACCACCACCGTCATCATCATTACTACCATTACCATCACCACCATTCCACCACCATCACCATCATCACCATCACCACCGCCATCATCATCATTACTACCACTACCACCGCCATCACCACCATCACCATCACCACCATTGCCATTATCACTACCACCACCATCATCACCATCACCACCACCATCACCATTATCATTACCACAACCATCATCACCACCACCATCATCACTATTATCACTACTATCACCATCACTATCACCACTATCATCATAAATAAACATCACATAACCGGCGTGTAACCGGGCCTTGACCCCAGAGCCCACTCGCTGTGTCCTCTCTCCCACCCCCTTCTGCACATTTCTAACCACCATCCTGCACTGGCTCCCTGTCTCCTCTGGTCTCACCCACATGTCCACTGAGAAAATGATTCTCAGAACACTAACTAGACCAGGAGGAGTCACAAAACATAACTCAGATCTGTTTATCGATTTTCTATATGTTGATGACATCAGATCAATGGGTGTTCTCAGCTTCTCAGAGGGAGGTCGAAATTCTCCCCCTCTCCCCTTCATGTTTCCAGACCTTCCTTGACTTGGATATTCCAAATGCAGAGTAGGTGTTGAGGCCAAGGGGCTCTTCCGTGTCAGCCCCATCCACAATCACTGGGCTAATCTTGTGGCCCTCTCCCCAGGACCCAATCAGGGAGGGCTTCAATCCTCAAGGTCACCCGTGGCCCCCCGCCCTCAGAGGTGCCATCTCTACATTGGCCACTGGATGGCAGCACATACTCACAGACCGCGTCAATTTCCTGGCAACTAGTGGTGGGTTTACCTCCTGATCAGGATGTTTGCCTTGCTCTGAGAGCAGATCTGAGAGCAGTGATATCTAACTTAATTTTCAGCAAAATATTTTGAAAAGGGTGCTCCCTCACCCATCTACACAGTCCACGTCATGCACCCCCTGCCCGATGCTTGGTAGCCAGGAGGAGCTTCCTCCATGCAGCTCCTTCCCGGCTAGGGCTGAGCTGGGCTCTGGAGCCAGGCTCTGGGAAGAGCCTCTTCTACGCTGCTCATGTAAACTCCAGATTCAGTGTCAGTTTTCTGAACCTGAGACAATGATCTAAGTGCAGTCCAACACTTTGGGGGAAGAAAGAAAGAGTGCCTCAGCTTTTGCCTGTGTCATGCTCGCAAAGCAAAATATTTTGAGAAATTCTAATCAAAGCTGGGCTTGCAAAATTGGAAAACGATTATTTGTGAGAGCACTGAGACATCCTTGGCGTGTCCATCTGGAAAAACAGCATTCCCTCTGGCAGTTTAGCAGATGTTCTGTTTCAATTTGGCAAAGGAAATAAAGCAGTTTTTCACAAAAGAAAAACTACAACTAGGAGAATTGTCCCTAGTTGTATTTCTTCTCCCTAATTGTCAAGGAAGTGTAAATCAGAAAATGAATCAGGACAATTTCCACCTACTATGTTAGCTAATCTTTTAAAAATTGAATACTCACAAGGGTGAGGAGAATTGTTTCCAGTAACATTTTATACTGTCACACACTTTTAGAAAATAATTTGGGAGTGTTACCGCGAGATGGAAATATGTCAACATAATTATGGGAACTTAGACTTCAGAAAAGAAACGAGAATGAACTTTATGAACAAACATGTGGAAGATTGGAAGCAAGAGTGGGGCCAGTGTGCACGGGGAGGAAGCATTTGGGCAGTGACTCCGCAGACCCAGGCTCAAGCTGAACTACACAACCTCCTTACACCTCAGTTTCCTCAGCTGTAGAACAGGAATGATAAAAGTGCCTGTTTCATAGGACGGTTGTGAGGATGAAGTGAGATACACCACATTAAGAGCTTGTGCCTGAAAAGGTTAATTCTTAGTAAATGACGACTATTCTTTTTATTGCAATAAAATATACACAACATAAGAGTTAGGATTTTAATTATTTTGCAGGGTACCACTGAATGGCATTCAGTACATTCACAATGGTGTGCAACCATCACCATATTTTCAGAACATTTTCCTCATCTCAAAAGGAAACCTCATGCCAATTAAGCAGTCACTCCCCATTAAAATATTAGTTATGAAGATTGTAGCATTATTTTAAAAACTCATGATATACATTGATTGAAAAAATCAGTATATAAAATTGTGCATTATGATGTAAGTAGTAAAGAAGCATATAAAAAATCTGAAAAAGTATATAAAAAGAATAGCAATTGCATTTCTCAGACTCTCTTTACATTGTAAAAATCATTTTCATACTTTCAAAAGAAAAGCAAAAAGTACACAAACAACAACGAACGTAAAACACCATGACAAAGCCCAGATCGTTAAACCCAGATCTCAGGAACACAGAATCATATATGATGTTTACACTCTCCAAGGTCAGAGAGTCCAGCGGCATTGGGAGCTGCCTTGTGTTCTGCAGCCTCACGGACAGACAGGAGGTCCAGTGCCACTGCTCTGTTCTTCTGGTTTTCCTCCTAAACATGTTTTGGGTTCAGCAACCATTTCTTTCATCTTTTAAACACAGGTACCTTTGGGGCTGGCCTTCTCAAGGAAGCCCCAGCTTCTTGTGATTGAGAATAAAGTGTGCAATCGCTATGAGTATCTGAATGGAAGAATCAAATCCACTGAGCTCTGTGCTAGGCATTTGGCTGGAGGCACTGACAGTTGCAAGGTAAGAAAAGGTCAAGAGACCAAAGTTAGTCTTGTGCTCTCCCTTCTTGGTCTCAGCCCCTTAGACTTCAGTCCCAAAGAGGCAAATTCTAGAAGGATTTGTCAACGTTAGACCCCAGTCTAAGTGTTGTTTAGAAACTGCCTAGATCTGTCCCTGAATGCGTATTCAGATCATCTAAGGGGATGTCTTGGGGCTTGAGTTCCAGATCGGTAGCAAGGGAGTTTTAAGTGCCGTAACTACCTCAGGCCACTCACCCTCCTGGGGTGTGCTGGTGGCCAGGGACTAAAGTGGTGACTTTTCCGACAGGGAAGGAGGTAGAGGGTACAGGACAGAGACCAACTGCACATACTTTACAGTGATGCCCAGGCTAGGCCAGTCTAAAGGAAACACCAACACAGGAAGGGATGTGTGCAGGATTCACAAGGGTTTTTTTTACCCCTGGGAGAAACTAAGTGGTGTGGTTTCGCTGAATAGATTTTGCTAAGTACTTAAGCACTGCAGATGCTCCAGTAATATGCCCATAAGTTCCTTTCCAATTTCAATTACTGGGAAAATATACATATGGACAATAGATGGATGCCACAATAAAAGGCTGGCAGCCTAACCCTCACATGAATTTTTCCCTACCTCTATTTAGGGTGACAGTGGAGGGCCTCTGGTTTGCTTTGAGAAGGACAAATACATTTTACAAGGAGTCACTTCTTGGGGTCTTGGCTGTGCACGCCCCAATAAGCCTGGTGTCTATGTTCGTGTTTCAAGGTTTGTTACTTGGATTGAGGGAGTGATGAGAAATAATTAATTGGACGGGAGACAGAGTGACGCACTGACTCACCTAGAGGCTGGAACGTGGGTAGGGATTTAGCATGCTGGAAATAACTGGCAGTAATCAAACGAAGACACTGTCCCCAGCTACCAGCTACGCCAAACCTCGGCATTTTTTGTGTTATTTTCTGACTGCTGGATTCTGTAGTAAGGTGACATAGCTATGACATTTGTTAAAAATAAACTCTGTACTTAACTTTGATTTGAGTAAATTTTGGTTGTGGTCTTCAACATTTTCATGCTCTTTGTTCACTCCACCAATTTTTAAATGGGCAGATTGAGGGGGTTGTGCTGTTTTTGATAAGGAACAGAGCACAAAGACCTGAGCAGGCTGCAAGGTCACAGAGGGCAGAGCCGAGAAGTCCTAGGAAGTTGTCCATGCATTTACCTCATCAGCTAACGAGGGCTTGACACACATTTTTATGTCTTTATACCTAACTCTGAGATGAATGTTTTCAAAGCTGCAACATGTATGGGGAGTCATGCAAACCGATTCTGTTATTGGGAATGAAATCTGTCACCGACTGCTTGACTTGAGCCCAGGGGACACGGAGCAGAGAGCTGTATATGATGGAGTGAACCGGTCCATGGATGTGTAACACAAGACCAGCTGAGAGTCTGAATGTTATTCTGGGGCACACGTGAGTCTAGGATTGGTGCCAAGAGCATGTAAATGAACAACAAGCAAATATTGAAGGTGGACCACTTATTTCCCATTGCTAATTGCCTGCCCGGTTTTGAAACACTCTGCAGTACACGTGTCACAGGAGAATGACCTGTGGGAGAGACACATGTTTAGAAGGAAGAGAAAGGGCAAATGTACATTTTTTACGATTTAAAATTTTAATTGTTACCAAACAAAAATATCCACTCAAAATACAATTCAACAATGCAACAGTCATCTTACAGCAGAGAAATGCAGAGAAAAGCAAAACTGCAAGTGACTGTGAATAAAGGGTGAATGTAGTCTCAAATCCTCAAAGAGTTGTGTTTATTTCATCGACAAATAGATTATTCGTATTCAATTCTGATGTGTTTTAAAGACTAAGATGCTCATTTTACGATTAGCGCACATGTGTATATTGTCACCTGTTCTCCTTAGAAAAATGCTCTTCCTCATGGTTAATGTTTCCCTTTGGTACCAATTTTGCCTGTTTGCATAAAGTATTTCATTTTTAAAACTCAGCATAAAATATAGACTGCATCTGAAAAGATATTGAATATAACATATAAAGCAGAACACACAAGTTCCACATTTCAAAAGCCTCGATAACAAAAAAAGAAAGATCAAATCCCTTATTAGTCTCTGTAAAGTCATTTATAAAGCTCCTGCTGATCCTGTTAAGCATGGATATAATTGATCTTTCTTTTAAATTAAAATGTAAGCTTTTCCCCAAGACATGTCAAAGTGCTAAGAATGAATAGGAATTGTCCATGTTTTTCGCTTTTGACCACGGGCACCATCGGAACTGAACTCACAAATATAAGAAAAATATCCCTTCACTTTTAAAATCCTAAGACCCAGAAATCAGAATCCATGGGATTTGTTTAGTAAAGAAGGGAATCTGTGGCTCTAGGTGTCCACTAAAGGAGAGCCAAAAATGTCCCAAATAATCTCAGAACCACAGCATCATTTTGTAAATAACAGAGCCAAGTCCTCAGATTGTACAGCAGATTGGTTCTTATTGCTGGAACAGGGCCTAAACCATGCCTGGAACCCCAGCTGTTACAGAGGAGGTGGACGGGAGGGACTCCTGACCTGTTCACATTGCGAAGGTGTGCGGAAACCAAGGTGAGCAGAGAACATGAATGCTCACACCCTTTGGCCCAGGTGCCTGTGATTCAGCCTTCTCATTAACAGGATTCCCAGATGTTCATCCTCCATGCAATCTTCAGAATGAATGGTCAGCTAGGAGCTTAGTCCCTTGACCAGATTTGATGAACACATTTCTGTACAACTTTCTCAAATCCTTGGTCGGCACATCCCACATTCTTGATGGAGCTGTCATGAGAATCAGGTTGGGGGCTTCTCTTGTCTCTCTTTAGCCTAATGGGTCAGAGACCACAGGGAACACAAGAAAAAAACCCAGGAAGGGCTGTGCACCTGACAGCTTCTTTGTTAAACTGGCTACATATTATGTGTTCCCAGAAACTTCAACAGCATTACAAATCCTAACTCATCCAACATTATATAAAAATACTCTGGATAGATTGAGGTCTTTATACAGTATTACAACAGCGCGGCATGATGTAGCTGAAATGCACACGTGCATCTCTGCAAGGCACAGCTTTGCAAGGAGGATCAGCTCCTGGATAGCTCCTTCTTTCTGTCTTTGTCGGGGGCCTCAAAGGTGAGAGCGGGAAACTGGGGTTTTCTTATTCCTGCCACATTTACAGGAATGTGGACTGAAAAAACAAAGGAGAAAGTCTTTAGGAAAGATTATGTAACTAGTTAGAAGAGGGTGTTCTGTTATTATTTAATAGTATAGCTGGTTTTGATCAAATACATTCATGAAAACCCAACTCTAAGGTAACAACAATATCTGTCTCCAGGATCATTTTTTGTCTGTGTTCAGACCTTAGGGGTGTTGCAGGAAGTCAAGGACCCTGAATGGAGGGACCAGCTGGAGCCACAGCAGAGGAATATAAATTGTGAAGATTTCATTTTGATATGGACATTTATCAGTTCCCCAAATTAATACTTTTATAATTTCTTATGCCTGTCTTTACTTCAATCTCTGAACATAAATTGTGAATATTTCATTTTAATATGGACATTTATCAGTTCCCAAAATTAATACTTTTATAATTTCTTATGCATCTCTTACCTTAATCTCTTAATCCTGTTATCTTTGTAAGCTGAGGATGTATGTCCCTCAGGACCACTACTGTGTTAACTGTACAAATTGATTATAAAACATGTGTGTTTGAACAATATGAAATCAGTGCACCTTGAAATAGAACAGAGTAACAGCGATTTTCAGGGAACAAGAGAAGACAACCATAAGGTCTGACTGCTTGTGGGATCGGGCAGAATACAGCCATATTTTTCTTCTTGCAGAGAGCCTATAAATGGATGTGCAAGTAGGGAAGATATTGCTGAAGTCTTTTCCTAGCAAGGAATATTAATAATTAAGACCCTGGGAAAGGAATGCGTTCCTAGGGGGAGGTCTATAAACAGTCGCACTGGGAGAGTCTGCCTTATGCGGTTGAGATAAGGACTGAAATACACCCTGGCCTCCTGCAGTACCCTCAGGCTTACTAGGATTGGGAAACCCCGCCCTGGTAAATTTGAGGTCAGACCAGTTCTCTGCTCTAGAACCCTGTTTTCTGTTGTTTAAGATGTTTATCAAGACAATACATGCACCGCTGAACATAGACCCTTTTCAGTCATTCTGCTTTTGCTCTTTGTCTTGTGATGTTTGTTTTTGCCCTTTGCCTTGTGATCTTTGTTCTCCTTTTTGCCCTTTGAAGCATGTGATCTTTGTACCTACTCCCTGTTCTTACACCCCCTCCCCTTTTGAAACCCTTAATAAAAACTTGCTGGCTTTAAGGCTCAGGTGGGCATCACAGTCCTACCGATATGTGATGTCACCCCCAGCGGCCCAGCTGTAAAATTCCTCTCTTTGTACTCTTTTTATTTCTCAGCTGGCCAACACTTATGGAAAATAGAACCTATGCTGAAATATTGGGGGCTGGTTCCTCTGATACAGGGGTTTGTTAGCATTATAGCATTTAAGTTCTTTATGAACTTCTACTGAATTAACATATATTTGGAAATGAGCTGTTAACATGAACAAAAACCAGCAGAAACGATAAAATAATCCAGTGTGATTTTTAAAAGGGAAATGCTAGCAAGTTTTAGTAATTTAGCACTAAGTAATTTTTGTAGAGTAAATAACCATGGATCACAATTAATGTGCTTAAATTGTAGCACTGTAAACCATACTTCTACTATATTTTTTTTCATGTATAGAGACTAGGTATAATTAATTAATGTACCCAACTTTTCATTATGAAAAATTATAAACAGAAAAAAATTAGAAAGAATCTGGGTACCTTAAATTTTTGCTGGTATAATCCTTCATGTTTATATGTTAGTTGGGTATTGATTTTCCTTGCACACCATTTAGACAACCCCCTTCCACCCACACTCCCCAAGCCAAAAACAAACAAAAACAAAAACAAAAAAACCTCTCCTAGCTGTTTATTTTTAATGTTACTGAAGCAGTAGAAAAGTCTTGATTTCAGAGGACTCCCTTTTCTTCCATTTTTTCCTGATGAGTTTGCAAATCTGATCCTGATTGGTTTGGGGATAAAGAATGAAAGCATCACTCTCATTGTGTAAACAGAAGGCAGTCAGTGGAATAGAATCAAAGGGAAGAAAGCTGTTCCTCAGGATTTTTTATATATTAAAAATATTTAGAGCTCCATGTTCTTAATTCCTAAGTCATTATTAAGATTGCTTTTTAGTTGTTAAATTAGCTGTTACATCATTTTTTAAAACTACACAAGCAACACAAGACTACGTGTTCTAATTTTTAAAGAAAATCAAACAGTATGGAAGTCTCTGGCAAGAAAGTGATGGTCCTCCCTTCCCTACCCCTCTTCCCAGCCCATTTGTGTCCACAGAGGGCACATATTAATATTTTACATCTTGTACTATACATTCTCATATTCATATCTCTATGTTTTAATGAAAAAATTTCAAACAATTAGAAAGAATTTGTGTAATGTGAATTTTTCTTGACATTACTCCTCATGTTAATATATTGGCTGGGTATTAGTTTTACTTATACCCTATTTAAACACCCCCCTCCAAAACTCAATCTCTCTATCTTCCTACTAATGTTTATTATCTATCATCTATTATCTATTTATCTATCCACCTATCTATCCAGACATTACCTATCATCTACCTGTCTATTTATCTATCTGTATCTATCTATCATCTATCATCTATTATTTATCATTTATCTACTATCACTTATCTATCTATGATTATCATCTATTATATCTATCTATCATCCATCTACCTATTATCTATCATCTACCTATTATCTATCATCTGTGTGTCATCTGTCTTCCTATCCAGCTGCAGAGAGAAAACACCTTTGGTTTTAGTTTTTTATAAATACTATAACATGTTGTTCAGTGACATTTCACTTTGTAGTCAGTCTTGAAAACCTGCCTATGCCATTCCATCTAGACAGACCTGACGCATCCTCACTCTGTAGAGTAAGCCACACTGTTAATCCCCTGCTGCTGTATGTCCCAGCAATTTCCACTTTCCCACATCAGCAGTTCCTGCCTTTAGATCACTTCTGAGTCTTAGCACCTTATGTGAAAATGCTTCTCTCTTCACAACCACATTAAAAAAAACAATGCATACTCTTATCTAGCTCTGGAGGGTTTTTTTTATGTTAACCTTTTGTATCTACTTTGAATTTTTTGCTTACAATATGAGATGAGGATTTATTCTTATTTTTTTCCCTGTGGATATTCAATTTTCTCAATGTCATTCTTTCCCCCGTGGTTTTAAATATTGCTTTTATTTAGGGTGCATTGAATTTTGTACAGTACCTGCCAAGTTTTTCTACATCATCCACTGTCTCTGGCAAGGCAATACCCTTGGTTTCAGGCAAAAGCATCACAAGGCCACCACAGATGGATGCCAGGATACCTATGGAATAGGGGAAAGGTGTTACCGCTCCAGGAAGACACAGCTGGGCCCTCTCCCATGGGGCCTGCTCACTCTGAAGCCATCATGTTGCTCACTGGAGTAGCTCTCAACCACAGCAACCTCTGCATCCCAGATCAATGCCCCAGCTCTCCCTTACCACAGCTTCAAAGGTTCTCTCCCTTCCTCAAACCCTGAGTAGCACCACGGCCCCTGTATACCTGGCAGCCATGTGTTCACTCACACATCTCACAGTGATTGACTGAGTTCCTTCTTAGGGTCCAACACCCAAGGCCTCCTCTCCTGCATCACAGGGAAACAGAAGTGCTGGAGGGGAGTCCCCTCTGCGCCCGCTCACTGACACTCTCACTTACCTGCCCCTCTCCCTCCGATTCCTCCTGTTACCTTACAGTGGAAAGCTTGTCCTGGTGTCTACTCCGGGACCAGCCTTCTCCTAGGCCTGTCTCTTTGGGCTCCTCACTGTAGGGATCAACCCTTCCTCCAGTATCTTCAACCTATTGGGAGAAGCTTTCAAACACATTCAGACCTTTCCTGTTTGACCAGCCTTCTCTCAATCTCACCTCATCCTTCCATTACCATCCTTTCTTTTTCTGCTCTTTAGAGCCAAACTTCTTGAAAAGCCACCCTCCCCTATTTTCTCCACTTCTTTGTAGCCTAGTGGTGTGCTGGTAAATGCCTAACAACCCTCTTTGGGCAATCAAGCCCTGATTGGCAGCATCTGCCAATGTGCATGGTTTAAATGCTCCCACTGTGGGCCCTTCAGGCTACTGACACAACATCCCTGCCTGGGCCACTGGGAAGTGATGCAGGAGCCCCATCAATGGGGCTTCCACCATAAAGATGCAGCAGACACAATCTCAGGAGCACAGGTAATACTGAAGGTGTAGTAGCTGAATTAGGGACTGATGAGTGTTGGGCATTTATTGCCTCTATTTCTCATATATTTCATATTCTTTACTTTTTGATGATATCTGTGCTTGATGACTGGCTTACAAAATTCTTGAAAATGTAGCTGATATGGTTTGGCTCTGTCTATCCACCCAAATCTCATCTCGAATTGTAATCCCCACATGTTGAGGGAGGGACCTGGTGGGAGGTGACTGGATTGTTGGGGAGGTTTCCCCATGCTGTTCTCGTGATAGTGAGTGAGTTCCCATGAGATCTGATGGATTTATAAGTGGTAATTTTCCTTGCTCTTCTCTTACCTGCCACCATGTAGGACGTGCCTGCTTCCCCTTCCACCATGATTGTAAGTTTCCTGAGGCTTCCCCAGTCATGTGAAACTGTGAGTCAATTAAACCTCTTTTCTTTATAAATTACCCAGTCTTGGGCAGTTATTTATAGCAGTGGCAAACGAACTAATATGGTAGCAGTTGGCCCTGGTGAGTGGGAGGTGCCAGCACCAGCATAGGACCATGCTCCAGGTCCTGCCTCTGCCTGCCCTCCTCCAGACTCAGCCTATATTCTCCCTGGCTCTGCTCCAGTCAGGTTCCTTCTGCCTCTTGCTGGCCACCAGATCCACATGTGCTACTTTCAGTCCTTAGGTTGGACCTGGTCTCGTGCCCTCCTGCCTCGGGCTTCTCACTTGGTTTCCACTTCCTTGGCCACCTCCTCTCCTTCTGCCTAGGTCTGTCACTTTGCCACCCCTCAGGTCTCTGTCCTAGGCCTCCTGCTTTCCTCTTGCTTTGTCCTGATTTTCTGGGGGGCTTGGGCCACTCCCTCAGCTTCAACCATTCTCTACTGCCAGGTGGCTTCCAGCTCTTCATCCCAAGGCCACTCTTCCCTCCTGAGCTCAGCGGTGTTGAGCCTGCTGGTTTCTATTTCCACTTGAACTCTTCCAGGTGCCTCAAATTATGCACAGCGGACACAGAGCCCCATCACCCTGCAGACCCTCAGCCTTGCTGCTACAGTGCCTGTGCCACCTGCTTCTCCCCAGGCACCTGGGCTTCTCAGGTCACCATGCTTTCTCCCTGTGCCCATCAGTGATCCCATCTTGCCCAGCTGGCTTCTAAGATGTTTACTCAATCTGTCCACCCTCTCCATTCCCATTGCCATCCCTTTATTAGAAGAAGCCACTGTGATCTCCTGATGATGACATCCTTGAATTGTCACCCCCAACATCGTCCCTCCAACCCACTTGCATATCTACCATCAGAGGGACGATGCTGGGGGGTCCTTCCAACCCACTTGCATATCTGTGTTTCTACAATGCAAGGCCAGCTCTGTCCACCTCAGGGTGAAACTGTCCAGTCACTTTCCACTGCTGTGTGTATAAAGAGCAAAGCCTTGGCATGTCCTTGAGGCCCTTCCGGATCCAGTCCCTGCCCTGCCCTGGCACCACCTCTCTTCAGGCCCAGCTCACAACTGCACTCCATCCTCTAGCACCAGGTGCTTGAGGATGCGGCATCCTCTTGCTTTGAACTTTCCACTGCCTGGAGCACAGCCAGCCCCTCTTGGCCTAGACATTGCTTCCTTCCTCCCTGGCCTGCTCCCTTCCACTCAGGGGTCAAGGGTCCCTGTGACCTATTCTCATAGGAGCCTCTGCTTTCAGGGTCTCAGCAGTTATCACATTCTGTTGTCGCTGAGTTTTTAGAAATTCGGCTGTCTCCCCTCGCAGTCTCAGGCCCCGCCTGCCTGCCACTGGGCTGTGGGCTGCAGTCCTGAAGGTCATGTGTCTTGTCTCCTGGACTACTCTGTCTTTGCTGGACAGTAGCACTTTCTGCTTTTTCATGCTGACCACAGAATTAACACTCAGCTTGATGACCAAATCCCATACAATAATTTGAGGTGATCCTGTATTGAGGTCACTGGTGTCAAGTGGTAGAAGCCGACTCTTTGTCCCTCACACTGTCAAAGGACTTTTGCATGAAGCAGAAGGTCTGTCCTCATGGGCTCAGTATTTTCATTCAAATTTCAACTGCTGAACCATAAATGAAAAACATTCTCTACCAGAAGTAAGGAAGTGGAGATAGAGAAACGGTTGCGTGAGAAAGGGGCCAACCCGTATCCTTTACTGCAGAAGAGGGCACAGGGGAAGTGTGTGAAACCCAGGCAGGACCGTTGGAGCAGCCCTGGAGAAGTGGGACACTGAATTCCCCAAGGTCCCTCCTAGACTATGATTCTGTTCCTTCACAAGTCCTATGGAAGCTGGAGGTAGGAGGAGAGGTGCACTCGAGGGACCTGGAGGAGGTGATGGAATGTGTGCCCGGGATCCTGTGTCACCTGCTCCCTCCACATGGATTTTTAGCATCGGGCCAATGAAGATATGATATCCATAGAGAGAGAACACCAGAAATACAATTAGACATTAGGCTTATT
This sequence comes from Homo sapiens, assembly GCF_000001405.40. Classification (NCBI taxonomy): domain Eukaryota; kingdom Metazoa; phylum Chordata; class Mammalia; order Primates; family Hominidae; genus Homo; species Homo sapiens. The sequence goes on along the minus strand of NC_000006.12, from coordinate 160,444,382 downwards.
TTTGTTATTTTTTATTATTTATTTATTTTAGAGATAGGTTCTTACCCTGTTGCCCAGGCTGGAGTGCAATGGCGTGACCATAGCTCACTGCAGCCTTGATCCTCCTGCCTCAGCATCCTGAGTAGCTTGGACTACAGGCACCCATGGATCACCACGCCTAGCTAATTTTTAAATTTTTGTCAAGGCAGTCTTGCTATGTTGCCCAAGCTGGTCTTGAACTCCTAGGCCCAAGCAGTCCTCCCATTTTGGTCTTACAGGTGTGAGCCACTGCACCTGGCCCTCATTTTTAAACATATTGAATATTTAATTTAGTCCCCTGAAAATTATTGGTTATGTTCTCCAATACCATAAGAGTTTCACAGCATTTAACTCAGAACCCAAAGAATGCTAATTGAACATTATTTATCAGCACCCTTTAATATAAAGTAAATTAAAACCATTCATTATAACTGAATTGGCTCTCAAAACTGAAATAGTTATTATAATAAGATGAAATTAATATCATAATTATCAATGAAATAGTTATTATAATAAGATAAATGACTATCATTATCATTATTGAACCTAACAATTATTATAGGTCTCTTTTAGTACAAAGAATGTAGATGAAGGCTCTTAAGAATAGCAAATGAGTTCTTACCAAAGATGATCAGAGGTAGTTCTAGCCACACGGCTGCTAGCCGAAAGAGCAGAAATGGGGCTATGATTCCCCCAAAATCACACAGACCTGAACAGAGCGAAACTCCGAAATTTCTGTTGAATGAAAAGTAATTTTAAGTGAAAACTATTTCAACAAGTGACTTCAAGATAATCAACATATTCAGACATATTAAAAAACCAAAGGAAGTGTGAAGATACTTTGCATTTTCTAACTTTGAAAACGACTACTCTCAGAACTCTAAGCAAAACATTTCCATTCTGCACGTTTCACAGTAAGGCTAGTGAGGAAGTCTCCAGCGTGGGTGGAGGGTGTTATCCATCAGCAACCCACTGCCCTGCCTGCTCTGGGTCACTTTGTGCTACTTTGGTTTCCTCATCTGAGGGAGAAGTGTGCCCAGGGAATGCTTCCTCAGCAGAGGAGGTTGATTTGCACTAATCCGTGCACACTGTTTCATTTCATCCTTCATAACCAGCTGCTCACCACTGCAATGCATGTAATGCAGTCAAAGAGAGGCCATAGTCTTGCAGCAGGTGATGCTGATGGATACAGATTTAACCCACAGTCTAAGCAAGGGCACCTAGAGGTCTTCTGGTTTCAAGTTAAGGGCCTTTCCTCAAAACCGTAACAGTGTGTGAAGATATTAATATGAGAAATACTTTTATCACAAAATGCAGCAGGCAGCAATGCAGAAAGCAGTGATAACTCAAAGCATATCTTCTTTACTAGCTGGATTCAGCCTAGGCTAATATATCACTGAGCTAAGGAAACGACTTCATAGTTTTTAACTAAATCAACTTAAAACGCTGGTCTACAGAGTTACTTAGGAGAAACTATAACGTTTGTTAGAATTACCGTAATGTTGTTGGGTACAATTCTGAATTTACCAAATAAACAATTTCAAAGGCCATGGTTATCCCTAGTCTTCCCAATGTAGCCACTGTGGTCCTCAACCATGCTATTCCTGCAAACACAGAAAGTTTGAAAGGGAGGAGTTAGGGGTCTGATTTCATTAACATTTTACAGAACAACAAAAAGTATTTGCTTAGTGGCCTCCAGTCTGAAGTCTTTGCCAATTTTAAGCACAAATGATAGAACTTTCTAATAATGTAACCAAATTTCAACAACAATGAAACTAGATGATAGCTAATATTTTAGAGCGCTAGATGCCTTTCTGAGCAGGTTGGATTATAGGAAGTACAATTCAAGAACCGTTTGTTGAGCATGAGCAGCCACTACATTGGAACATTGTTCCAGGCAATGACCTCCTAGAGAGCCAAAGCACACTGGCTTTTTGTCCAGGTGGTAGTTTCCAGTCATGCCTTTGAGCCACCACGTTCCCACAGCTGGTGCCCAGCTGTCCTTTCTGTGCATACCTTGCGGTGGTGACACAAGGAATAGCCGTTCCCAGCACACCTGGGGAGTTCCTCACGTGAGCTGACCTTGGTTTCTAGAGTGGAGCAAGCTTTGAGGACCAGGATCTTTGGAAGGGGACATCTATTCTGTGTGTTACCACTAAGGCAAATGTCACTCATTGTCTTCTTCATCCCCCATTGTACTACTTCCTTCAATAAACCATCCAGAAGGAGCCACATTCATCAATGCTAATTGGTTCGTCCATTTTAAAATGAACTGTTTTAGGACTGCTCTGGTTGTATGAAGAAATTTTCCTTTCCTCCCTACTAACTAGTGGGAAATGCCAAACATTCTATATTAAATATTTTCTTTCTTTTATGTTTTAAGGGCAGAGGAGTTAACCATTTTTACTCTAAAAAGTCACTGCTCTAGCTTTCCTAGAAGTTGTGCAATTGATGTCATCCTTTCCTAGGGGATTTGGTATTGAGGACATATGTCTGCATGAACAAGACCATATCTGCTCTCCAAAGCAAAACGAAGCATGTCCAGTGTTCATGTGCCTTTCATTTTCCCTTTATATCCAACACATATGTTCATTTAGCACTAAATAGTCCTCCTGTTTCCTAGGGGAATTATTGAACCTTCCTGAATATATAATTTTTTAGTAGAAATGAATGAGGAGGATGAAAGAAGAGAATCAAGCCCAGTAGACTTCTGTGTGTTCTCTCTAGAGAATAGCCAAGTCAAAAAAAAAAAAAAAAGCTAAAATTCATTAAATAAAACAATTGCCCAGGAGCACAGGTGTAAGGAAAAGATGGCTCAAGAATCCAAACCATTTCTGGGAGTCTGAAGTTTACATATTTTGACTGCAAACTGGCCAAGGACATCCTGGTGCACTTGATGTTTTTCCCACATGAGAACCCTTGTAGCTGTCACGTTAACGGTTATATCAGGCAGTGAGGAGGCCAGGGTTGTGCTGATGTGCTGGGCCACTGTCTGCTCTGGAGCAGAAGGTTTGTCAACATGTGTTATTTAGGCTTTGCTTCTTTATGAAGACCAAGAAAAGGGGGGAGTGGAGACTAGGTAATGCATTCCACTCCATCTTTCAATGAGCATGTGGTACTGGAAGGGGAAAGTGGGAGCAGAGACTCAGATTCCCTGGGTCCCAGCCCGATGGGACCATCTCCTGCCACTCCCGGGCTGCAGTGAAGGCTGCCTGCTACCTAGGAAACAGCTTCACTATCCAGGTTGGGTTCTTCCATTGTATGTTTCTTTTCACTAAATCAAGATTGCTCTAAAATTGAGTCCCACCGACAAATTCAAGGGCAATTTGGGTTTATAACCGAGGCAAGGTGTTTCATGGAAAAATCCAAACAAAAGCCAGAGACCAAATTAAAACACACACACACACTCCACCATGATAAACATATGTGGTTAACTCAGATAAATAGCCAGTCAATTCAGTAAAACATTCAGAAAATGCCAAGTTGCCCCATTTGTGGAGATGTGGTCTGTCCGGAACATTGACCTTAATCTGAAAGACTCCCAACTCTTTTCCAAGCAGTAGAGTCCAGTATCAAACTATACTGGAACAGAGATTTTGTTGAAATGTGTAACCAAAGAAAAGTTTCTAAGGCATTGCATGGTTCATTAACTAAAGAGTGAAAAGAAAACTGTAGGAAGTATGAATAAATATATACACACAAAGAAATTCTTGATTCCAGTAATAAGCTAAATTCATTTTGAGGTGGCCATAGACATCTTTTGGTAGCAATGACAAAAACCACAGGGCAATTTAAAAATGAGTACTGAAACTAAAATTGTCTTCCATGGAATTACATGAGAACAAAGAAAATGTTTTCTTCTGAATGTGGATTTGGTCAAGCTACTAGAGATGATTGGGAATAATACCTCAATTCCTGAAGAAAGGATGCAGGACTTAAACAAAACTTTATATGTCCTCTGAATGGATCATCTACTCTGAGTTCTGAAATAAAGTTTAGTGAGAAATTCTAGTAGAAATGTCTAAATTAAGATACATGAACTCACTTTTCAATTAAAGAAAAATAAAAGTGGAAGACAAGTTTTCCAGTTCAAGAAGACGACTTATCCAAACTGCTAGGTTTGTGGTCATCCTAAATAAACTCAAATTAAAGATGGCAGACAGGTATGGATAAAGAAAGGTCTTTATTTTCCAGACATTAATGAGTGTTAAGAAATTTGGACTAGAAGCAGTGAGTCTGAGATGAGAATACAACCAGAACTACTATTTCTTCTTCCAGAATTCCATTCTTTAGACCATGAAAAGTTGGGTCGAGTGGAGGGAAAGCTGATTAAAGTGTTTGCTGTGAGACTATTTTAGAGCTGGTTTCTCCAAAAGCTCATCTGTATTCTCCCCAGGGGCTGGCGACCTACTACTGACGTCAGGAATGGCTGAGCAGAAAAGCCTTTCTCGTGCTAATTAACCAGTGGCTGGAATCAAGTCCAATGGGTCTTTAAATTGGAAGGACTCAAGGGAGGATCGTCTGTTAATATTTGGAACTCAGTTTAGGGATTTGAAATGTATTCTTGCCAGTCAGTCATGACTGACATATGACTATAAAAGCAGCCAAGTCTGCAGAAGGTAAAAATAAAATGTGTCTAGAATAAGAGCAATTCATTTTCAGTCTTGCTGAGAACAATTCTAAAGCTTCAATCAGGAAATTATATCTATAAAATAAAACTGGTTAGACAAGGGAGAACAGTCTGTTCTTGGTGTTATATTTTCCAATATATGAAAGAATTCTCTACAAAATAGTTATATGACTATCCGGCTAGTTACTTCTGTCTTGATTTGGACACACAGCCTTGAATGCTTTCTGGGGTCATTCTGAATGCAACAAACATTAAAGTCATCCCAATCAATCTAGGACCAGAGAAAATCTTATAGAGTAAAGTATATATATATATCATGAAATGAGGGGACACACCGAAGCATGCATCTTTCTCGCTGCATTTCTAATTTCATATACAATGAATATTTCATTCATTCCTAGTCCACATACGATGAGAACAGAAGACTTCATCTCAGGGAGCTACAGTTGTATGTTATATCCAAAGTACCAAAGTAAAATAGAACAGTAACGTCTCCAATGTTTGCGATTTTTCACTCTTCTTAAATTATACAATTTTGAGGGCAGGAATTATGTCTATTTTGTTCACCTCTCCATTCCCCTCCTAGTTCAGTGGCTGGCAATTAGTCGATACTAAATAGATACGTATTAAGAGATAGCTATTGTACAGATCCTCCAACTCTTATAATATGTTAATTCCATGTAGTGGGTTGAACAGTGTCTCCCAAAATTCATGTCTACCTGGAACCTCAAGGCTACTACATTTGGAAATAAGGTCTTTGCAGATGTAATTAGTCAAGGTGACACTGACACAAGCAGAGAAGAGAATGTCCTGTGAATATGGAGGCAGAGATAGGAGTGACACCAAGGAGCTGCAAGGATTGCCAGAGAGAGGCATGAAGAGACCCTTCCCCAGAACCTCTGGACATAAGCACCCTTGGATGCCTTGATTCTAGACTCCCAGCCTCCACACCCCTGAGAGCATAAATGTCTGTTGTTTCAAGCCGGTGAGTTTGTGGTACTTATTACAGCAGCCCTGGGAAGCGAATGCACTCAAGGAAAACAAGAGAAATGTAAATAGGTGGTTGCTGTTCATCATCAAACATTCCAACATGTCAGGGGACTTGTACATTGTGTGTGTGTGTGTGTGTGTGTGTGTATGTGTGTGTGTGTGTGTTCCGAATATTGGCATTCCTGTAATTTTATTCAAATAGGGCCTACCTCGTGTTTTAAGAATTCATAAACCTTCATTTAATTAATAAACTCATCTGTAAATGTCTGACTGTTCTGACTCCCACTATATTGTCCATTTCTTGGCTGGTCCTCAGAGGATTCTCAAAGAAAGACAGCCTTTTTTGTGCAGACACAAAGGATGCCTGGAGAATCCAGCTTTCTCTGTAATCCCCACTTTGCCTTTCCTGGAAGAGGGGAATGATGAACTTGCTCTACTTCACACATCCCCTGGGATGTGAAGCCCTCCTCCTCCCAGTTCCTGGTGTGTTCTAGGGTAAGGATCTTCTGGGTGCTGCTCACCACACATCAGGAGTCACGGCACCCTCTGCTTCCTTCTGGCCTGCACCCCATCTACCAGGCATGGAGCTCTGAAAAATTTAACTCTGCAACATCTCTGAAATGAAATGACCCTCTCTCATCTAGGTCTGACTGCCCCAATTGTAACTCCTGCTCTCAGCATCTCCCCCTGCTCATAGCCATCTCTAAACTGCTGCAGTTATGCCAAACTCACTCCTCCTCCTCCGCAAGCTCACAGGACCACCTGCAGGGCTGGTCATGCTGGTGACAGATCATCTCTCAGGCTCCTTGTCTGGATTCCAGTCACAGCAATGAACCCTCAGTTCCTGCATGCACAAAGGTGTTTCATACTTCTGGAAACTCTTCTCTAGTTTGGAAACGTCCGTCCTCTCTCTCCCTGATATCTGGCACATTTGAGTCTTCACGCATGTTTAGTTCCCACTGCTGGGAAGCTTTTCTTGAATCCCCTTCTGGATTGATCACTCCTCCCCAATCTATTTTTTTATATTTCTAAATCTTGTAAATAGTTTAATTAGTTTCTAAATCTCACAAATAATTCATGACAATAAGAATCGTGACAATATTAAAGTATCTGTATCCCTTAATAGATTGTGAACCATTCGAAGTCAAGACTGCGTTCTTCTATGTGTAACCTCAGCGTTTAGCATGGTGCCAGCAGCATGGCAGAGGTTCAGGAAATAAGTTAAACATCAGAGATATCACAAAAGTAAGTCACATAAAGATGAGTAACAGAAACCACATCGCTATCAGCTAGATTGGGCACAATATCTATTTCATTCATAAATGATCCTAGCAATTGAGAAAAGAGAATCATCTACAGAACCAATCTCTTACTTCGAAGTTTTTATGCTGATTAAGCAGAAAATGGAGTGACATCACGAAAGACTGTGATTCCATTGCACATTTCCTAAGAACAAGTGGCTCCCTATACTTGATTGTGGATTTAGGTGTTTTCAAGTCCTTTGGCTGCCAAACAGATGTGGGGTAAGATTACCTTCTGGTAAGAACGCAGTGACAAGGCATGCCACCCCTGCCACTATATTGCTTGCCGCAAAGGGGAGGCGTCGTCCAAGGCGCTCAATGGTTAGTAAGATCAAGAGAGCTCCTGGCAGTTCCACCACGCCCGAGATGAAAAAGTCTATATAGAGGTTGCCCCCTATAATTCCCAGGCGCATGACAAGTCCTTGATACACCACTGCGCTTGTGAACCTGTAGCAACATTGAAAGACACCAGAGAACAAGTAAGAGATAACTTCAAGCTGATTTGAAGGAAGGGATGTATTGTAAATTTAACGCAAGCTTTTAAATCCATCACAAGTCAAACTTACCAAGCAAACATAAGAATAAGTGTGCATTTCCTCATTTGGGGAGTTCTCACCAGATCTAAAAAGGATGGATTACTAACTTCCTCATCTGTAACAGTGATCTATATAAGAAAAGCAGATTTCAGTAGCAATAGACAGAAAAAAAAAAAACCTGCATAGTATAGACTTGTCATTAACCAGAATCAAATGATCTTACTGAAGTGACTAGGGGCTTTCATAATATCTTAAAACCTGACAATTAAAACACTTCTGCTCTTGCATTTAGAACACATCAAATTCACAAAGATAGGATTGCTGCACTGAGAATCTGTTCTTAGGATAATTTCAGTACTTTATGTTAAACTGCTCTGTATGTTCTAAATACATATGCACATTTATTACATTGGGGGAAATGAGAGTCAGGGTGGGTGAAGCAAGTGGGATCCAACCAATTAAGGGTTTCTTTATAAACTAAATCCTCAAATCTGACTTTCACAAACAAAATAGAGTAATGTTAAGTTTAAGAGTAAGCACCAAAGGTATTATTTTGCTTTTGCCCATTTATTGTAATCTAACATCTTTTTGATCCAGAAAAATTCAGCTCATCTCTAGCTGGCCATCCAAGAAACTGGTCTTTTCAATTCAATTCAACAAATACTGCTATTGGCCAACTACATACAAAACACTGAAAAAAGCGAAGCTGGAGAGGACACCCCCCAATCCCCACATCCTGCCTCCAGTCTAACATGCGGAAGCATCAGAGCATGATACCCTGCAGTGACCGCAGCTCCAGTTTCCTGTGCTTGTCAGTCTCTTACCTCTGCATGGAGGGCTCTTTGACCTCCTCAGTCCTGATTTTACCTCCCCTGGGAAGCCTTTCCTAGCCTCAGATAGAACTGATGGCTCCCAAATTCTGCCTCTACTCCCCGGACCTCTATCCTAGCACCTGTACAACAGCACTCCCCTGTGGGTCTGGAGCTCTTGGAAGGCGGGAGTGCATTGTCACACCAAGCAAAGTGCCTGGTGTTCAACAACTGTTTGTGTAATGACTGAGTGCTGAAACAAGAAGTCAAGTGCCCTGGTCATATCTGTTCCTCAGTGTCGTCCTGGGTTTCTCTCCTCCTATTAAACAAAAATGCTGGCTACTAAGGACAAGACCGATGCTATCTATTTGTACAACTCCAGATTTGGCCCAGATTGAATGAAAATCTAGGCACATTTTCCCCAAAGCTTTGAGCTAAAGTCTCTCTACCAGTAATCACAGGAATTTGACTTAGAGCATACACACACTGATAGTACCTTGTCAATCACAGATTCTAAACAGTAAATTCAATAGATCAACCAAAGCTTGATATCTTATGCCTATCTTTGCTCCAAGGAAAGTCACACACACACAAAAGTAGACTGCAAAATGAATGCCTTTGGTCACTTTCTTTTCCAAAGTCTTCACAATCCTGTATTTCTTCTATACCAAGACACATTGGTTTTCTACATTTTAACATCTCTTAATTGGAAGGTGTCCTACAACTGAGCTGGTAAGAAAGAAATGTGTCCCAGTTTAAACAACATGGTTTCCTTTACTTAGTGGTACATAAAATGACTATGTGTCTTAAAATCAATAGTGTCTAGAGTCAACAAAACAATAGTTTCCATGACAATCGCCGTGGAAGACTGCTGATGGATTCCACCATCCATGCTTCCCTTCCCTCTTTTGAGAATACGTAGAATTTTAGTTGGGCATATGGCAGCCTAGTGACAGTCATTTTTTCTATCCTCTTTTTCAACTGTGAGTGGCACTGTGATTAAGACCTCAGCAATGAGGTGGTTGTAGGGGTCATGTGTATAAGTTCTAGGTCTCTGCATTTAAAAAGGTAATAACTTGCTGGAAGAAGATGCTGGTGAGCTTCAACCATACCACCTGTGTAGGCGATGGTGGAGATGCAAGATAAATGGAACTCATGGAGTAGAGCTGCCTCACTAGAGCTTGGCTGCTCACCTCTGTGTGCGTGTGCTAGAGAGAAAGACACTTTTATCTTTTTCATCACTGTATTTTTGGGGCCTTGTTTCATTAGCAAGTTGACCTGGATCTTAACTAATATAATGTCTATTAAGATGACCCCTGAGCTAACCTTCTAAATTTGAAGACCCCAGTGAGGGATTTTTCTGTGTCTACCTTAACCTTTGCTGCTCAAAAAACAAGACAGGAATATCAAAAGTGAAAGATAGGAACTCCATAGATTACAAATATATATTATGGTATAGTTTGTTGCCAAAATGTTTTCTACAATTCATTTCTATGTGTTAATACATTAAAATGGCTAGTGTTTATGGAGTGTGTGATATTAGATTCTAGACTAAGCACTTTACGTGGATTATTTTAAGTCTCATCAAAGCTCTATAAAGTTAGTACTTCTGTTAATCTTATTCTATAAATAAGGAAAACAAGGCTTAGGACTTTCAGGAGTGAATAGTACACAGGTAAATCAGCCAGGAATTGAAACCAGGCAACTGATTGGTGGAGCCTGTGTTCCTGATCCCCACACAGCACTGCTGAATATATTTCATTCTAGAAACATTCTTGATAGTTGATGGCCACATCTAAATATTTTTAAAGAAAGACACTGTGCACTTGACCTAAAACTGAATCTTTAATTAAAACATTGTTTTATGAAAAAAATTTGACTAGATAATTTAGATTTTAAAGATCTTTAAATTCAGGATTAAAACCACCCATCCTGCAAGGACAATGTTCCTCCATGAAAGTATCACCACCAACTCGTTGCCATGAGTTTTTCCTTTTACTGAGGGCTTTTCCACAACTCAGACTTGGGGCTGCCGGGCAGTGTCAGTCTCAGACTCTTCTCTCTCCAGGGATTCCCTGACAGGATCCCTTGTCTACATATCAATACCACTGTCCATTCAGCACACACAGGTGGCAATACTTTTTTCTTTGCTTTTCAAAAGAAATATTCACAGCAATTTATTACTGGCTCTCTTTTATTTCCTCTTCAGACTTCTGCTGAGAGCTATGACTTCTATCCACTAGCTATGAGTGTGAACAAATTCACTCTCACTCAAGTTTCCAGTTCCAACATCCCAGAGTTGAAGGGAAATCCTACATCACATATTTCAAGATCTCTGGTCAGTTCAGGTAGATAGTTTGACTTTTTAAAAAAATTTAAAAAAATTTTTTTTGAGATAGGGTCTCTCTCTGTCACCTAGGCTAGAGTGTAGTGGTGTAATCATGACTCACTACAGCCTCAACCTCCCGACTCAAGCAATCCTCCCACCTCAGCCTCCTGAGTAGCTGGTACCACAGGTGCATGCCACAGCACCTGGCTTATTAGTAGCAGTAGTAGTAGTAGTAGTAGTAGTAGTAGTAGTAGAGACAGGGTCTTGCTGTGTTGCCCAGGCTGGTCTTGAACTCCTGGGCTTGAACAATCCTCCTGACTTCGCCTCCCAAAATGTTGGGATTACAGGCATTAGCCATCATGCCCAGCCTAATTTGACATTTAAACACATTTGTAGATTTTTCAGTTGTTCATGATTCTTCACTGTTTTTAAGTGATAAAATAAAGGAGCATCTCTTGCTTTCATGTTAGCTCTGTAGATAATTGCCTTTCTCTGGCAGATCTCCAGTCACTCAATGACCACAGAATTATGACATGTTAGATTTTGACAAGAAAATAAAGATCTTATGTATTAACCTAGAGGTTGGCGAACGTTTTCTGCAAAGGGCTATATATTAAATGTTTTTGGTTTTGTGAGCTCTAAGACCTCTGTTGGAACTACTTACCTTTACCATCGTAGTGTGAAAACAGTCATAGACGATACATAAATGGCTTCCAATAAAATTTATTTACAAAAACAGGTTGCCTGCATGTCTGGCCTGCAAGCTGTAGTTTGCTGACCCCTGAATGAGAGGCTTAGTGCTGGAGAAACTTGTACAGATACTACTATCATTCCTATTACAGAGAGAAAGAAGTTGAGGTGGAGGAAAGCTATGTACCTTACCCAAGGAGGACACACAGACAGTAAGAAGATGAACCAGGAGGTTGATAGCAAAGTCTGTATTTTTAACCATTATGCGGTAATGTGTCTGCAGTATGTAGAATATGATATTTATTGTTTAAAAGTATGCCGTATCATTTCATTAATTACTTTCTTCTTTTCAGCTACAAATAATCTCTGAAAATTAAAAATTAAGCCTAACATTGGGAGGCCAAGGCGGGCGGATCACGAGGTCAGGAGTTCGAGACCAGCCTGGCCAACATGGTGAAACCCCGTCTCTACTAAAAATACAAAAAATATCTGGGCTTGGTGGTGGGCATCTGTAATCCCAGCTACTCGGGAGGCTGAGGCAGGAGAATCGTTTGAACCTGGGAGGCGGAGTTGCAGTGAGCCGAGATCGTGCCATTGCACTCCAGCCTGGGTGTCGGGGAGACTCCGTCTCAAAAAAAAAAAAAAAATTAAGCCTACATTATTTTTGTAACAAAAAAAAAAGCTCACTTTTAAAGTCATGGACTTAAATTAGACACAGCGTACCCGATTGTTGACTTCCTTCTCTTTCCTAACAGAATTCCCACTACACTCTCCCGCACCATCAATTCATATGTTTGTGGGAGCTGAGTCTCCTTCTAGTTGTAGCGGGAGGCCTGATTAGTTTAGGGAAATCGTATCCTCCATGTCAGTGACTGGGCACGTGACCCAATTTGAACCAATGAGAAATGGGCATACAACCCAATTCGGGCCAATGAGAAATGGACTTCTGGGAAAGTCCTTCATTGCTTTTAAGTCAGAAGTTCCTGAAGAAATCTTTTTTCTTCCTTCAAGGAATGAATGAGGAAATTGTGGGCTCACATACAACTTAGCAGTCATCTTACACTGATGAGACAACAAGTCTTAAGATGAAGCTATCCTGTCAACAGAGTGGAGAGAGGAGAAGAAAACCATGGTTTAATAAGATTGTTGAGATCCTGGTCTGGCCAACCCTGAATGCTGCTGTTGCTAGAATTCCAGACACACGAGCCAGTGAATGTCCTTATTGTCCAAACCTATTTAAGTTGGTTTTCTGTTACTTGTTGCCAAAAGCAGAATTATCTGAAGAATCCAATCCAGAACAATGCTTTTCCTTTAATAACTGAATATTTTAGGCAATTTTTTTTTAGCAAATAGTTAAAATAATTGCTTCTATACTCCAATCCACTCCATAAAAATACCTGGTATAAGTCTTAATTTCAAACTTTTAGAAGTTAAAACAGAGTGGTAATATGATCTCTGCTTTTCCAGACCACAAGTTTACTGCCTCATATATATCATCTACCAAAAAAAAAATACGAGGTGTTGATAACGAATGAAGGGAGTCAGGACTGTGAAACCAGTCTTCCCTGTCCAGTGAATGAAAGGATTAAGAGTACTTCCAAGCAAGTACATATTTTGCTACATTTAAGGACAAATCCAGCTGGTCTTTGATTTACTAACATCTCCACAGTGACGCAGATATTCTGAAAGATGACCCACTTTCTAGGCATCCAAAGGCCTTGAGAGACTTAAAACCGTATCTTGGATGGAATTCATCCAGGAAAATCTTGGCAACTCCTGCGCCGTGGCGGCCGCCACTATTATTCTTTTACAATAACTTCTAGCTCTATATCTGTGCTGATTTTCTGTTGCCAAAGGGTTACTAAATTTTGCCTGGTCTGAGTCAGACACACAAAAAAACAAAATGCTATACCAGGTTTAAAATTGTTTTTAAAAAATTGCTTTATTACCTCACATACCATTTACATGCACTTTATGATATTTACATGTAATTTATGTACAATAAACTTCAGCAATTCTAAGTGCACACTTTGAAGACTTTTGACAAATATATAGTCTTATAACCACCACCACAACCGTGGTACGGACCCTTTCCATGATCCCCAAAAGTTTCCTTGTGTCTCAGTGAAGTCAGTCCCCTCCCCCCACTCTGGGCTCTGGAAACCCAGATCTGCTTTCTGTCATGACAGTTTTGCTTTTTCTAGAATTTCATAGAAACAGAATCAACAGTGTCTCACTTGGCGTCCCGTTTTGTCATACCTTTTATGCTGTCTAAATGGGGGATGCTGGTTTTGATTTGAAGCAAAGGGAGAAAAGGGTGATGTTCCGGGTAACACTATCTGTTCAGAGGCTTGTTGCCTAGTATCGACACTCTCTATTCATGGGAAAAGGTATCGCTCAAGGTTAAACTGCAGAGGTTAGTTTCCTTGTATTTATTTAATGAGCTGAATTGCTATTTGCCCTATTCATCTCTTTGATTATCTTTTAATTCTGCCAAGACTGTGTTTTCCATCAACAATTATGTACTCCATATTAAAAGAACACTTTATTCGTCTTTCTTTGATTAATTCAGCTCTCTTTGCAATTCTTCCTGGTGAAACATTTCTTCAAGTTGACGTCTTCATTTAAATTGCCAAAGAAGAGAAAGACATTATAAATAACCATCTGTTATAAATATGGTGTTCAGAGCTCCCCACGTGGAGGACTGGTCTCGGGTCAGAAAAAAGACAGTCAGGGTTAGGCCAGACATGTGGTATTCTACTCAGAACATTTTTTTACTAGCATGTTACTTAAACTGTTTGAGCCTTAGTTTTCTCATCAGTAGCAGGAGAATAATAATATTCAAATATATTATTTTAATATTATTATTAAATATTATTCATTTATCAAATCACACCTTATTAGTGTTTTGAAAATTCATTTAAATAACCCATCTGTCTATATAGATACATAGATATGTGTACATATACACAGATACATACAAGTGTGTATATATATACATATATGCACCTATAACACACACACACCTGGCACACAATATGTCATAGTAACAGAGGCTGTCAACATTAATCTTATGTTTTATAACATTTGAGAGTTACTTTATTTTCAGGTGATAATTCACCCAGCACTTTTTCCTTTAGTAATTAGTAGCTAATGCTGTGACACATAAAGGCAGATGCTTTTAAAGGTCCTCAGATAAAGAGAATGGTTGCTCTGCCTTTTTTTTTTTTAAGAAATGGATTTCTTTTTATGTTGAATTTTCTTAAGTATACCAGATGTATTTAATGTTGATTTGGAACTGTGGATCTACCAGGCTTAAGGCAGGATACTTTTTCATGAATGTGCACACTGGCAAATACCACGTACGCAACCTTGCAACTCAAAGTATGACCCACAAGTCAGCAGCGTTGGTCTCCCCTGGGAGCCTGCTGAACAAGCCCCGCCCCAGATCTAGAGAGAGAATCTGCATTTTAACTGCATCCCCAGGAGACTAGCATGAGAAGCACTAAGAGTCAAGGAACAGCAATCCCACCTCATCGGCTCACTCCCATTGTTTACTTCCACCTGGGGCTCTGGGTGCAGAAACGTGAGTCCTCCCAGGTTTAGGAGGGAGAAATACATTTGCCAGCAGGGTTTACCATGGGCAGGGGGAAGGGGATGGTGTTAGTAGCTGCTTGTCTAGCCTTGTGATTTCGTCTGGTTATTCTCAATAGGAGACTTCTTCATCAGTTGCCGTATTTCACAAGGAAAGATGACACCAATAAGAAAGAAAACGTATTTGCTCTTGAGTATAATACTGTGATTTATTCAGTGAATGCATCATCACTAGTTCCCTAAAGGCTCTGCTCTCTAGAAACTTTTCATCTCTAAGAAGTCTGTGTGAATAAAATGTTATTTGAGGTCTTTGGGCTCACCGATTGGGGGAACCAGAAACCACCTTCAAAAGTTAAAGTACCCATTGGTCTTACAGACAAGCATCAGGAACCAGAGGGCCTGGTGGGGCTGGGAGGAAGCTCGGCAGTGACAGCTGAGGTGCTCATGTCCTTCCATCCCACTGCCCAGTGGATAATGAGCTCATTAGTCAGACGAGGACCAGCCCAGAATAGCCAGGAGTAAGCATGTCACATTACAGAGCTGTAGCCAGCTTCTGGGTGGAAATAGCACTATCTGGTACCCATAAAAGAGAATTTGCCAAATTACCTGTAGTACTTCGGCAATTTTTGAAAACCTCCTTATCCTTTAAAACAAGAGTAGATAAAATATTTACCATGCAAGAGCATATACGATGGGGAAATATTTGTATTAAAATTATCACAAATGTTTGATGTTTATTAAAGTAGTTAAAAATAAATCCCAGTCCTCTGGACCAATGCTGTCCAGTAAGAATATAATGTGAGCCACACGAGTACATTTACATTTTCTAGTGGCCACATTAAAAAACATAAAGAGAAACAGGGGAAATTAATTTATAATACTTTTCATTTAATCCAATAGATCCAAAACATGATCATTTCAAGGTGTAACCAATATGAAATTATTCATGAGGCGTTCCATACTCTTTGCTTCCTATTAAATCTTTGAAATCCATTGTACAGTTTACTTGATAGCACATCTCAGTTCAGACTTGCCACATCTCATGTGTTTGACTGCACATGAGGCTAGGAGCTACCGTGCTGCACTGAGCGAGTCTGGTCACCTGCAGCCCAGGTGGCTCTTTCTTTGAGACACTGCATGGAGAAGATATTTTATTCCATTAGTTTGAGTTGGCCTGAAAGAGTGCCCCAGTCCCCCACCTCCTAGATGACTGGGCATGCTGCCCAGAACAGCAAATGGGCCTCTATCTATGCAGTCCCAGGAGGGACCCAGAGGGCAGCCTCAGTATTGGCAAAGGTGAACGGATTGCAGCTGTGGGTCACATGTTGGAACATTTCTTCATTTCTTAAAAGCAAAGCTGAGAGCGTTTTATTTTTATTTTTTGTTTGTGTGTGTGGGTGGGGGGGTGGGGAAGGGAGCCTGTTGACATAAGAGGAGAAAGGAAAAAAGAAGAGAATGTACTCTCAGTTCTAAAACTCTAACTCTAAAGGCTCAGAAATTAAGGGAATATGCATCAAAACTTGCGTGGACTGAATCCAACATGTCATCGAAATCTCCAGCAGCATCTATGCCAACAGTCATCACGGAAATAGAAAGGTTCTAAATATCACATTTTTGAAATGCCCAGTGCCTGAAACTATGGTAGCATGTATGGATACACAAAATTTTGAGTTCCATGAAAAGGCAAATTGAGTGTCTATGAGACACTGGTCAGCCAAAGTTGTTTTGAAGAGAGAGAAAAAGCAAGTTTGAGTGAATTCAAGCAAATCCTCTGCTTTATCACAAGTAAAAATCAAAACTACACACTCCTGCCCAGAACAATTCTTATCATCACTTCTTCTCAGTCTTCTGAATGCTTTGGGAATTATTTCTATGGGAACATGGTCTTTAACATCATCATCAATAACATATGAGCTCATCAGACCACCTGTCCACTCGCCAGCTGAGGGAACTGTTCCAGCTGTTGGGTGTGGGCAGGATTCCAGGATCCCTGAAACCTTGTCCCACTAGATTCCTGGTAGGTGTCTCCTGCTGGGGCCTGGGCACATAAGGCCCTTCCCCCACTGTCCAGGGTTGGCAGTGCTTTCTGCACAGGTCAAGGACAGCCAGGGTGACATTAGCCCCAGTCACTGAGTTCTCAGGGCAAGGGTGACTGGGGCAAGTCCCGACTACATTCTCAAAGAGCCAGTAGCTGGAGCTTGATGCTGCCTATGTTCCTCCATCCCTTTTCTCAGGAAAATGGAGCCTTCCCTCATTTCCTGCACGTTTTCTTGGCAAGTCGGCAGTGGGGTCTCTGCGTTGCCCTCAACCTTCCCCATCAGCTCGGGTCACAAGCATCTCTTCCATTGCTTCTTGCTCAGGGTGCTTTGTCTTCATCCTGACTCTGACCTGGTCCCTGCCTGCTGGGAGAGTCCTGACTGCCCTTTGATTTCTTCTGTTTTCCAAGTGCTCCAGTGAAGGTACAAAGAATCTCCAGTAACTAGAGATGTGCAACTTAAAGCACTGAGGGGGCTGGAAAAATTAGGAAACTGAAGCATACTAAATCTAGATGTAGACAATAGGGACCCACAAGTCCCACTAGTGCGGTAGACACAGAAAGCAAGCTGGCGTTATTCAGGGTCCAAAGCTTGCCTGCACACCAGGACCCAAGGGATCCGCTTCTAGGCCTTGAACTCCATGGAGAGCCTTACGCAGGTCAGAAAAGGACATGTATGAAAACACCGATCACAATTACTGAAGGCAACCCAGGTGCCCATCATTAGGAAGATGGAGACCAGAGACACAGCAGGTATGGCCTAATGAAAATCACACGACAGTTGGAAGCAATGCACTCACACATGAACAAGTTGGGTAGACACTTAAAACACATAGTTGAGTGAAAAAGTAAGAAATACAAGATCTGGAGTGGCACAATACCATTTATATCACCTGAATACACACAGCACACTCCACTTCATAAGAACACATTAATAGCAAACATATAAATCAGACACATTAGAGTGGGAACCTGCCGAGGGAAGAGTGGGAATAGAGGAGGAAAGGGAGAAGAAAATCAAGTAGGACATGAGACGAGTGTTGCACAGCCCAATGATGCCTGAGCCATGCACAGAGTCTTAAGTAACCCAACTCTGCACCCCTCAAAAAACAAGAACCAAAACCACAAGAACCACAAGAACCAAAACCACTGTCATCTCGGAATTTCCTCCATTTTCAGTGCTTCCAAATTTGTCAAATATCCAAATTTTGCCTTCCTTATGTAACTCAGAAAGCCTTTGGTTTAGTTTGAAAATGCTGAGAAGTATTCCAGAGAAAGTCAGGTATAGCTGAAGAGTTTGAAGATCAGTTTAGATGCACCTCAAAATAAAGATCACAATCATGTAATGAGTTTTGGAGTTTGCGGGTTGCTTACTTTTCTGGTTCTTGATTTGCAGAATATTTTCTGCACATGGTAACTCATTGTTCACTGGTACGTCCTTTGTGCGGCTTAAGGCAGAACATTTAGAGATAGATGAGATTCTCTTACGTATCAGCCATAAGCCAGTAGCACACGCCATCTCTGGAATTCCAATCCTGAATGTTGTTGACAGCGAAGCATGTTATGTCTCATGGCTGGTCTCTGGGCCATGGTAATTAATCTGCATTAATGTTATATTGTGTTCACTATTTATTCAACTTTGAACGGTGACTTGATTTATCATATTCCAACAAATATATAGACTAGTTTCCATAATTAATAGCTGTACTTACCTTACCTAGATTTCAATGTGAAAGGCTATGTGTACATCAATCAAAATTAAAACACACTGTAGTGATTTCCAGACATTGCATATAAGACATGTCTTATATGCATGTTCTTCAACTTCGTGTTTAGTTATATTGTGCATATTTATATGATGAAAATAAGTATAGTTAAATAAAGACCTATTATTGGGAGGGAGAGAAGGAAAACAGCTCAAAAAGAAAAAAGGAAAAAGAAAAGCAATTATAGAGGATTAGAGAAAATAGAAGGCATCTTGAATGCATCTGGGGAGACATTTTTGAAATGAACATTTCACAGAGGTTATTTTAAAAATAGATGCCTTGAATACAGCACCCAGTAACTATCTGCTGAATAAATGGAGGAACAAATGAAGATAAATGACTGCTACATTGTGTATACCCATACCCTTTCGTTTCTGGGACAACTTCATGTCAGTGACATTAAAATAGTTTTTCTAAACATGTGGTGATCAAATAAGAATTCTGTGATTCAGTTTTTAATGTGAAAAAATGTTCACTGCAATAATTTAATACTCAACCTGTTTAAATTTAGAGGTTGGCTATTTCTAGACAACAAAATGTACCAAGTTGTTTACAGAATTGTGGAAAGAAAGGGGATGGCAGCAAGCAACCCTACATGAAGTTGATACTATATTTCACTTAGTTGACATCAAAAACCTGTCCCCTGCTAACTTGAGAGCAGCCTGTATCAATGCAGTGCATAAACTGTTATGAACTGCAGAGGGAATACCTGAAATGTCTTTAGAAAAATGTGTCTAGATCAGATCTCAAAGAGAAGTGTGTAAGCCTGGTGGAACACACATACTAATCAAAACGTGTGTAAGTATTCAATCTCTATTTCACTCTGTGCCATAAAAATAATTGTGCTGAGTATTCCATAAGCCTTCCTCAGTCTTCCTCAAGATCTAAACTATTTGTCATGTGTTGGCTCTGAAATGTAAGCCAGAAAAGGCCAAGATTCATCTTTCAGAGACAGGCAACTGGGAACCGTGGTACTCAACCCATCCTATTCACCTTTGAGAGACAGTAGGCAGTTGGGAGTCACAGCACTCAATCCACCCTACTTAACATGCAGAATTTGTCCCTAAGGTCAGTGGAAGATAAAAATATAATGAACTCAAGTGTATTTTATTGAATGAAAGAAATGAAGGGATCCTAGAAGTTGTTGTCATGAAGTTTATGTATGTCAAGACTCTCAGCAACAGGTAGAGACACCTTATTTGTGCTTACAGTGACTCATCCTTTTTGAGTATGAGGATGTCTGATTAATGTCAAAAAAATTTAAAGATTGCCCACATGACAGGAATTGTGCTCTTCACTTCTGTTCTTTGAGACCACATAATGACACAAATTTACTATGATTTAATAACACCTTTCAATTTATTATTGGTTATTAATTCTAACTGTATTTAATTTTATCTGAAGAAAGTACATTTTTTTTAATCCAAGATGTATTAATTCATTCAACAGACAAGGCTTGGTTGCTAATGGTTTGTGGATCTTTGCAATAACTCCATAATCCCTAGGATCTGTGGCCCACTGGGACAGATTCTTTTGTCAACTCCAGGGCTGAGGTTACAGCGGCTAGGAGACAAGAATGTGTTAACAAGAACATCCAGGATTCCCTGTCTGCTTACCCTCCATGTTCATCACTAAAGAAGGTGACATATGTAGAAAGCTGAAACTGGATCCCTTCCTTACACCTTATACAAAAATTAATTCGAGATGGATTAAAGACTTAAATGTTAGACCTGAAACCATAAAAACCCTGGAAGAAAACCTAGGCAATACCATTCAGGACACAGGCATGGGCAAGGACTTCATGTCTAAAACACCAAAAGCAATGGCAACAAAAGCCAAAATTGACAAATGGGATCTAATTAAACTAAGGAGCTTCTGCACAGCAAAAGAAACTACAATCAGAGTGAACAGGCAACCTAGAGAATGGGAGAAAATTTTTGCAATCTACTCATCTGACAATGGGCTAATATGCAGAATCTACAAAGAACTCAAATTTGCAAGAAAAAACAACCCCATCAAAAAGTGGGTGAAGGATATGAACAGACACTTCTCAAAAGAAGACATTTATGCAGCCAACAGACACATGAAAAAATGCTCATCATCACTGGCCATCAGAGAAAATCAAAACCATAATGAGATACCATCTCACACCAGTTAGAATGGCAATCATTAAAAATAAGTCAGGAAACAACAGGTGCTGGAGAGGATGTGGAGAAATAGAAACACTTTCACACTGTTTGTGGGACTGTAAACTAGTTCAACCATTGTGGAAGACAGTGTGGCGATTCCTCAAGGATCTAGAACTAGAAATACCATTTGACCCAGCCATCCCATTACTGGGTATATACCCAGAGGATTATAAATCATGCTGCTATAAAGGCACATGCACACATATGTTTATTGTGGCACTATTCACAATAGCAAAGACTTGGAACCAACCCAAATGTCCAACAATGATAGACTGGATTAAGAAAATGTGGCACATGTACACCATGGAATACTATGCAGCCATAAAAAAGGATGAGTTCATGTCCTTTGTAGGGACATGCATGAAGCTGGAAACCATCATTCTCAGCAAACTATTGCAAGAACAAAAAACCAAACACCGCATGTTCTCACTCATAGGTGGGAATTGAACAATGAGAACACTTGGACACAGGAAGGGGAACATCACACACCGGGGCCTGTTGCGGGGTGGGGGAAGGGGGCAGGGAAAGCATTAGGAGATACACCTAATGTAAATGACGAGTTACTGGGTGCACCACACCAACATGGCACATGTATACATATGTAACAAACCTGCACGTTGTGCACATGTACCCTAGAACTTAAAGTATAACTTAAAAAAAAAAAGAAGGTGACATAGTTTTGCTGTTACACAAAAGATTCCTGTAGCAGAAAAATATTCTTGGTTCTGGCTGTTTTCCCTAACATCATCTAAATCCTTCTCCCGCAAAGGATAAAAGGACTTCATCACCAATTAACACCTCCTTTATTCAGACACCTTACAAAGACTTTGTCTCAATCTGTTTGCCTTTCTGTATATGAAATTCTATTTCCGTCTCTCAAATAGCACCAAATTCAGAGAAAAAAGAAAACAGAGCAGGACCATCTTATTTTTTCCAGACCAAGTAATCTAGCCATCTCTGTGTTGCATGGGCCGCACGCTGTTTGTATGAGTGGGTGGGTCCCACCATCAGCCCCCACATGAAGAAGTGTTGCTATGCCAACACAACCCAGGTGTTCATCCACCCATTTATGAGATGGATCTTAATTTTAATTCTTTCTAGGGAAAGCAGGATTGATTCCATGAAAATCCAGCACCTGATACCTTTTTTATCATCTTCCTGGATGGGACCTCAAGAGATTGAATGACAATGTGTTTTCTCACTTACTTACTTTTTAGTACAATTTCCTCCAGCTTCATCTATGTCAAAGGGGCACATCTGTGTACATCAATGTTCAATCTAGTGCTGTGGAATTTAAATGAATTTCATCTGCTCCTCAAGCCACATCTCTCTTCTTAGGATTATTTCATGAAGAAAGATAATTTTCCTGGTGGGTCCAAGGTCTAGCAAGCAGTACTGCCATGGCAACACAGCTCTGGGTTATGAATAACACAGGGACTCCTGCCAGGGTTGCTGGCTGCGCAGAGCTCTGGAAGTTGTACTCATTA
The DNA here is from genome assembly GCF_000001405.40 of Homo sapiens. Lineage (NCBI taxonomy): Eukaryota > Metazoa > Chordata > Mammalia > Primates > Hominidae > Homo > Homo sapiens. The sequence goes on along the minus strand of NC_000006.12, from coordinate 160,422,008 downwards.
CTGTCTCCACGAAGGAGCGCGTTCACAGAGAGGAGTATTTTCTCATTTATCCACAGTCGAGAAGCACAGTAATTTGGATTGTGGAAACTGGTTTTGCTGAAAACACAAGAATGGACCAAATGGCAAAGGAGCAACATACATGAAGAAGCTGAGCCTCTTCCCTCACACTGATAGAGTGGAAGGATTCCAGAGAGGGTATCAGAAGGCCCTTCCCCAGCAGACGCTTGAAACGGAAAAAGGACAGGCAAACTCACTCCTCTTTTCTATTAGAGAGGGACACATAACTAAAATAATCAAATTAGATGCCTACACAACTCCCAGAAAAGAGAACAACCAATATTAATGGAATAAAACAAGCCCGTGTGGCTGATGAGTTTTGCCTTGTGTTTTACTTTTTACTTTTGTTTGTAATACTGCCGGGGCTCAGGGTAGGCAGGGAAGAAGTAAATGCTTCTCTGCCTACCAAGGAGTGCTGGAGTAGAAAGGGGAAGACTTTTGCTCCTAAAGGGCAAGGGGAAGCTCAGCCTTTGAGAAGGAAAAGGGGGAAGCCCACGCATTTAGATTCATAACTAATCACGGATAACTGAGCAGTTGCCAATGTCATGTCGCAAAGCTCGGAACTCCTGTGTCATAAGCCACATGGACCTGCCTGTGTGGTTTGCCAGGATCCCAGTAGCAGTGAGAGAAGAGTAAGTGAGAAAGGAAAGGGCTTTGGCTCTCCACCAAGCAATAGGACTTGTTCCTCCACATGGAGAGGCTAGCTAGGGAAAAAAGGGCTTTGTGTTTTCCGTGGGCTGGCCCTGCTGTCTGTGGCCTGGGTACTTGTCTGGGAAATGGGTTGGCAGCAGCCGTCTCTAGGAAGGGCAGGTCCAGCCATCAAGACAGCGTCAGCATCTTGCTTTAAGGCCATGGATGTGTAGGGACAGGACAGAAACCTGCCTTCTGAGGATGAATCAGGCAGGAATGAAGCAGGGCCAGAGCCACAGTAGAATGGGCAAGGACTCAGGACCAGATGAAGAACCAGGTAGACATGAGGCTCTGCGGAGGAAGGGGTGCGGAAAGAAAGGGGAAGCCTGGCAGGCAACTAGACAGGCTCAGCAACCTGCCCCCAATCCCGGGAACGGCTGGCAAGCAGATCCCAGACCCATCCTCCAGCCAGGCGGGAATCCCGTGTCTTCTTCTAGGCATCAGGGCCCATGGGATGGGCAGGGAGGACTTGTGACGCCTGCAAGTGTAGACCTTTGGAATCTTCCTCTGAGCATAACTGGGGAGATGAGGACTGACCCAGTCATGGAGGGAACAGCTCTACCCAGTTTGCCTGAGACATTTTTTTGGTGTTAGCTCTGAAACTCCCAACTCCCCGGCCCTGGGCAAACAAGGACAGTTGGCCACCCTGCTGGACACTGCCTGAGTCCCTCTGTTGTCCTAGGTTCTGTAAATACACTCACTCTTTAGTAATATGTCCTTAGACACCAGAATTGATTGCAAGTACTGAATGCAGGAAGTTTATGGGACCATAATGTGGAATGCTTTCCTTTCCCAGTTCTGACGAATAGTTTTCAAGCCCTAACTTGTACAGCAGAGATAGTTAACATTTTGATAAAGGCATGGCCCAATGATTTATTTTCCCAGAGGAAATCTGGAAGATGAGTTTGGGTGAGTAGGGGGAAAGGCCCTGGCTCACCATAGTTCCTTGTGCAAAATGCTGCTGTCTGATGAGGCATCCCACAAGTCTGCCTAGCCTGCTCCAAGGCTGCAATCTCATTCTTTAAAGCACCTTTAAATTGAATTTCCATTTCAATTAAAGGTGTAGGAGAACATCCTCCCCTCAATATCTTTCGGTGTTGAATGACAGCCCACTGACCTGAGCAATGCCAGGCTGAGTTTCCATTTGGGGAAGGAAATGAGTGCTGGGCACCATGCTTGAGAAAGGAAGTTGGGGGTCTTGACATGCTGTGGATGGAACTGTTTACTGGTACAGTCTTTATGGCTATTTCACTGTAGCATGAACAGTTTTCTCATTTTATGCGATATAGTCTTGTTTTCAAAAAGCTAAAGACATGGAAAGTAAACAAATCCATTTAAATACACACCATTTCTAGAACTCAGGCTATTTTTTAAAATAGGAAGTATTATTAAATTAATTATTGGCTACAAAGTTCCATTCTGTGTTGAGTATGTCCAGTGTCCTGACATATTTTTATGCATTCAAGCATATTCTAAGTCAAAGTGAGTGTGATGGTACACATACTACAGTTACCATTTTTATGAGTCATTTTAAAGATGAAGGCTTTGCTGGTAGAATTGGCACCATTCATCCTGTAAAGTGAGAGGAGGAAGACAGCCCTGTCAGGAGAAAGTGCTGGATGGGTTCCCAGTGACTTTCTTTCTAATAACTGTTTTTGAGACTTTCTTTGTTTTTGAGACTCAATCTTTCTCATTCCAACACTGGACTGCCCTCAGATACTCCATGTGCCTAAACTATGTTATCTGGATCTTTTGAAATGAATTCCCCGAAGAGAGATTTCAAATCTGAAGTCTGAGATCACAACTAAACACAACAGTTAACAAAGACAGCACCCTAATTGAACTGAAATACCACCATCCCCGATGGGCTCCATGGAAGTTGGAATCATAGTGTGGTTCCTCTTTTGGAAGAAGAAAAATTATGTTTATAAAAATCCCCCTTTGAAAGGAAATGTCAGAAACAGATATTCCCAAAGCTGGAAAGTCCCTTTCTGTAGCAATATTGGTGTTTGTGTGACTGCTCATTAAATTATAGAAAAGACGGTAGCTATTAAGGTCTAGAAGTCTCCCTGACAACTAAGGTAATAAAAAAAATCAGTAAGACACTTTCTAATGAGGTTTTAATTTTTTCTATTTTGCAAATATTTCAAACAATGGTATCATTTATATTGATGATGGGCCTAAAGGAATCCCTTTGGAATTGGAAAGCTCAAATTCCGTTCCTGATGTCACATAAACATACCACCATGGGAACTGCCTCAAGCATGTTTATGTGTGAACATTATTGATATAACATCTAATGTTTAATTTTAAAAGCAGTAGATTCACTATAAACAATACATAAGTGTATCCAAAAAATAAGGAAACTACGATCAAAGCTTATGGGTTTATTGCGCCAGTATAGGATAAAATATCACTAACAAATATGGGCATATTCAGTTCTGTAGTATCAGAGACTTCTTGTTAGCTAGAACTGTAACCTACTATTCTCTATGAGTATATCCCATACAAAAACGGGAGGAATGGGCAGTTGGGGGCAGAGGAGAGGGATCTTTAGGATAAAGGCCTTTAAGATCCTGGGAGTAAAAAGGAAACCAAAACTGCTGCCACAGTTACTACCTGTGTAGCTGCATCATCCAGGTCAGTACAGTGACAGTGGCTGCTCACTCAGTGTTGACACAGTCAGCTATTATATTGGTCAAGGTTCTCTAGAGGGACAAAACTGATAGGATCTACATATCTATGAAAGGGAGTTTATTAGGAGAATTGGCTCACACGGCCACAAGGTGAAGTCCCACGATAGGTTGTCTGCAAGCTGAGGAGGTAGGAAGCCAGGAGTGGCTCAGTCTGAGTCCAAAAGCCTCAAAAGTAGGGAAACCAACAGTGCAGCCTTCAGTATGTGGCCAAAGGCCCGAGAGCCCCTGGCAAACCACTCATGTAAGTGCAAGAAGAACCTGGAGTCTGATGTCCAGGGGCAGGAAGCATCCAGCCCAGGAGAATGATGAAAGCTAGAAGACTCAGCAAGACATCCTATCCCACCTTTTTCTGCCTGCTTTGTTCAAGCCACACTGGCAGCCAACTGGATGGTGCTCACCCACATTGAGGGGAGGCTTCCTCTCCCAGTCCACTGACTCAAATGTGAATCTCCTCTGGCAACACCCTCCTAGACACGCCCAGAAACAATACTTTCCCAGCTATCTAGGCATCCTTCAATCCAATCAAGTTGACACTTTACCATCAGAGCTATTGATAAATAATGCTGCATAAGAGCCATCGATCTTAGCAGCATAGAATAGTAAGCATTCATTTATCTCATGTGTTTGTGGGCTGGCTGGGGCCTGCTAGTGTAGGTTTGAGGAAGCTTTGCTAGGTCAACTCCATTCTGAATGTCTCTCAGCCTCCTTTGGGGCCCATAGGTAAGCCTGGGAATTTTCTCTTCATGGTGATGGCTGAGGTGCAGAGATAAAGCCCAACCACACAAGCACATTTCAAGCTTCTATTGCATCACATCTAGCAACCTGCCATTGGCCAAAGCAGGTCTCATGGTCAACCCCAACATCAAAGGGCAGGAAGTCCACTGCACCTATCATGAGGCCAAAGCAATATCATTGCCATGCCCAACATTTATAGACCCAGGAAGTATTTCCATCCCTTGGAAATGAGGGAAAATGTGAATCTCTCCAAACAGTAATTTAATCTACCACAATCAGATACCCCTGCATCACCAAAGAATGTGTTGAACCCTACTCTGGCAGTTGAACTAGTAATATGACCAATTGCATTAGCTAGATTTGGCTGCAAGAACAGATACCCCCAAATCTCTGTAGTACATGCAGACACATTGAGCAGTAGTTTACTGGGGAAACAGCTTTTTCTTGGCCATGTCCCATACAGCAGCTGTAGGTCAGCTGCTGCAGCTCTGCTCCAGGCTGTAGCTCTCCTTCTGAGACCCACCCTGAAGGAACAGCACTGATTTGGGATCTGCTGTTCTTGTGGCAGACAGAAGGAGCAAGAGGGCTGTCAGGAATTCATGATGCCTCTCAAAGCTTCTGCCCTGAATTGATATTCTGCCACTTCTGCTCCTTGGGCGCAATCAAGTCAGGTGGCCAAGCCTGACACTGGGTGGGGAAGTATATTGCCTACAGAGAGATACTGCTGTCAATCATCTGGCAATGGGTGGGAATGGGATGTAAAATCCTCTTACAGAGAGGAAGTGAATAGCTGAGAGGATTAATACAATTTATCACAGATATTAGCAGTTCATGCTTACTTAGAAACAATCCCAGCTCTCCATTACTCACCAATAGACCAAGTCTACTACCACCAGAAGTGTGGACACTCTGAAGTACTTGCCCATTCTTTTTTATTTTGACAAGCACACAAATTCAGTACCTGGGGCAATGGCCATATCCTCAGATAAGCATTGTTACTCCATCCATTATTCACACTTGCACACAGTACTATTACTTGTCTATCATATGAGAGTGAAAAGTTGAATTGAGTGGTTAGTGACCAGGTGTAAGGCAAGAAACAGGGCACTACAAGTAACAAGCAGGAATAATGTCTAACTAATACCAAAGAAAAATTTCACATTTACTGCACTGTAAAAGAACTTTGCATTATGAGCAAAACAGAGGGTGTGGCCAGGGCAGAAAGCAGTTCTCATCCTTGACATGCTCTCTGGGGTCAGTGGATGATTGTGGATGCTCCTGAAGACATTGTGAGACGCTGTCATGCTGTAGCTGTGCCTGTGCTATCATTATTGTAGACTTACCCATAATTTGTTTTTTTTTTTTAAGTAAGCCTTAAAAGTTATCGTATGCAAATGCTGAAAGGCTGAGAACCACCAGACTAGGTGTCTAAGCTAATCCTCGTTCTACATTGGGTAACTACCTACTGCTTAAAATTCTACCCATCCACTGATTCTCTTTAATTTCTACCTAACCTCCTAGGAGCTCAAGCCACTTCACTGTTTTGCATTGGTTTTTGATTTTGGGATTTTTCCATTTAGTGAACAACAGTTATACTGTTTGTATGTTCAGAGAGCCTGGACTCTGATCACCTGTATTTCTCCCTGCTAGTGCTAGCTATCTCTTCAACAAAGCCAGAGGCCAGCCAGAAACCTTGGCAAATGGAAGCCTAGGAACAAGTGAGGCAGAGACAGAGTTTGCCTACCCATGAAATGAGTAACATCCATGTGAACTGTAACTGAGATGATTTACAGGATAAACAACCCTCAAAATGCACCTGTTTCAATGTTGGATCAAATCTGTCATACTATTTTCCTCTCATATTTTCCCTTCTCTCACTAAAGCTCTGGAGATTGGTGTAATCTTAGTTTGTAGTTAATTTAGCTTATCTGTAATATGGAACATCCTTGGGTAGATTTAAGCTAGGTCCTTAGCTTCTCCTAAATATACCTGATCCTCTGATGTCAGCAATGGAACAGGCTGGGGTTGGCAGGTGGTTCTTTTCACAAGAGAAAAATGCTGACTTGTTGGGTCTCCTAGGGCTTCTTTGAATCCAACCACATTCTTTCAAATCCATTCTAACCTTCTCCGCACCCTATAATGGGCACCCTGAGAATGAGGTGGGAATTAGAGAGGTCGTGAAGGATGAGGTCATTTACACAGTGATAACGTCTTCTAAAAGTCAGAAGTTACTGAAGAGAGATTCTGTGAAAAGTAAAAAGAGATTGCTGGGAACTTCAGTCGTGGGTCTGAACATCCTGGAAACTGTATCCAGAGAGAGGGATGTGGGTTAATGTGAAAGTAACTGTGTAAACATACAGTTTCAAGGCTATCCTAACATAGACACGGACAGTATGTATTTGAATCACAAAATATGAGTAATTTATACTGGTCATACCTGTCATTGCACAAAACCTATAATGGAATCCTGCTGTGATTTTTGGGGTTGGAGTTCAAGTACAGTGCCTACCCTGCTGGCCAGTCCTTCTGCGTCATCACGAAGAGGTTTTCTGCTCAGGATGGTGCTTGTGGGGACATAAGGACCTTTGAGATGGAAAACTATGACGTGGCCCATAATGTGGCTGAATTCCGCTTTTAGCAAGGTGTTTTAAACTTAAATGTTAAATCCTTCTCTTGAAGATAACACTTTGCTTTTCTGCTTACGCTGTACAATTAAAAAGATTAAAGATGGGTAGGTTCGGTTTGAAGACATATGTTTCAAAAACCAAAGCTCCCTTGGAGAAATAGGTGATTCCATGTGTGAGACTGGAACTTACAAGATGAGACTGGAAAATCTCATCGTGCTAAAGAGCAAGGAGGTATTCAGAAGCTACTAGAGGGTGGCAGACTCTGGATAAGCTGCGTGTGCCCAAAGATGGAGCAATTTGAGCATCCGAAAGAGTACTCACCAAAATAACTGTTAACATGGTTTGGCTGTGTCCCCACCCAAATCTCATCTTGAATTGTAATTCCCATAATCCCCATGTGTCATAGGAGGAACCCAGTGAGAGGTAATTGAATCATGGGGATGGTTACCCTCATGTTGTTCTCATGATAGTGAGTGAATTCTCATGAGATCTGATGGTTTTATAAGGGGCTTTCCCCTTTGCTCGGCACTTCTCCTGCCTGCTGCCATGTGAGGAAACACGTGTTTGCTTCCCTTTCTGCCATGATTGTAAGTTTCCTGAGGCCTCCCCAGCCCTGCAGAACTGTGAGTCAATTAAACCTCTTTCCTTTATAAATTACCCAGTCTTGGGCAGTTCTTTATAGCAGTGTGAGAACAGACTAATGCAATTGCAAAGGATTGAAACATATAAACTATGTTTAAATAAACACACTCAACTCATTAATCACTTTGGGAGGATGTAGGGAGCCAATTTATTATTTGGAAAAGAAAAAATGATGCATATGTCTTGTCTTCCCTATATGAGCTATATCTCAGTGTCACCAAGAGTTGATGGGAGAAATTGGTCTTTATTTAAGCACTGCAGCAATAAATGAAGAAGTAATGATAAGATGAGAATATTGTCATTTGGCAACCTCTGATGAGTTAGTAAATCCAGGCAGTGATTATCAGTGGCAAGTAATGTTCCAAAAGAAGAGACAAGCAGCTACCAGGTATCTCTCAATGGAAATGTACTAAGCCACTTATGAAGTAGTCTTGCCAGAAATATTAAACTTGAACTTGATTAAGCTCTAGATCTAACTACCAATTGACAGGGAATATAAAAGACAGAGAAACGTGTTAAAGGATCCTACAGATATAATCAACAAAATTTAGACTGTGGAAATTCTTCAGGAGAAAAACCCCAGGAATTTTTTTATTCCCAAAGTTGGAATGAAATGAAAAAGGGCAGGAACCTATGAATTAAATAAACCCAAAGAGATCAACAATTCATAATCCATAACTTCAGGAGGAGTCTAATGCACATAGACAGGGTGAAACATTGTAGGACAATCAGGGAAGTGGAACACTGACTTGATATTAAGGAATCATGGTTATTTTTCTTAGGACAATGACATTGATATTAGTTTTATATTTATATTTTATATACCATGGCCCCATCTTTGCTCCCACAAGAGGGATCAGTCCCCACAGGTGGATCAAAGGTGTGATTACTTGTATTGAATTTTAAGAACCACAGGAATAGTTCTTGCTCCTCCTTCAGCAGTGTCCTGAAGATAGTGCACACATAGTTCCAGAGATACCTATGTGTTCCTACTTTAGAGGAAAATATTACAAGATGAAATGCTATGATGGCTGGATTGATTCCTACTCAGTGGATAGGGAAACTAGGCAGAGTATAGAAAAACTAAGATTGATCAGGAGTTGGTAACTGTTGGAGCTGAGGGATATGCATAGAGATTCATTCAACTATTTTTGTATTTTTGAGTATGTTTGGAAATTTCCATATTAAAATTAAAATGACTTGGAAGCCACTGGATCCCATAGTTCATGATCTCTCATAAGCACAGCCATGTGGAACATTGAACTACTTACCTGTTGTCATGATCTCTACGGTGCTCATGAATAAAGCTGGGTCAGTGGGTCTGTGGGAGCAGTGCTAAACTGTACACTCATGGGATGTGTAACAGCAGCTGCTTCGGGGAATCAGACTCATCTCTCAGTGATACTCACTATCATCACACATGACATGCCTGGTTAATCCAACATTATATTTCACAAGCTACCAGCACACAGCTGTTTTTTCTATATTCCTTTCTAGATTCCTTTCTATATTCTTATTTTTCTATATTCCTTTCTATATTCTTATTTTTCTATATTCCTTTCTAGATGCCTATTTTTCTAGAACACTTTATATATTCCTATTTTTATATATTCCTTTCTTTATTCCTATTTATTTTCTATGATCCTATTTTTCTATATTCCCTTCTATATTTGTTTCTTCTATATTCTATATTCCTAAATATATTTCTATATTTAGACCTTTAAATCAAGATCAAAACCTTGGACTTACCTCTGGACTATGTGTGCAAAAGAGCAGAGATTATTCACTGGATGATTAAAATTGAATACAAATGATCAGATCTTTGACCTGGCTATGAGGACTATAGACAATGGATGAGTGCAAGCTGGGAAACAGGGGTATATTATTTTTCCCTAAAAGGAACACACAGCTCAAATGTGTTCACTCAAAGAGTGACAAGGATGGACTAATCATAGTGGTTTAAAAAGATCATGCTTTATCTTTACCACACATTTTATGATCTGTAAACCTCAAGGTACATCATTAATGTACTTGCACCATTGCACCAGTGACATCTGTTCAGTTGAAACCTTTGGAAAAGAGCCTACTGCTTGCCACTTAATATAAGAGAGAGGAAGAAGGCAGAAATCCAAATATACATGACCAAGCTTCAAGGGCTGGGGAGGGGACAATAGAACCAACAAAACCCAGTTCTTTTTTAGACAGAGTTTCACTCTTTTTGCTCAGGCTGGAGTGCAGTGGGGCAATCTTGTCTCATTGCAACCTCTGCCTCCTGGGTTCAAGTGATTCTCCTGCCTCAGCCTCCCAAGTAGCTGGAATTACAGGTGCTCGTCTCCACTCCTCGCTAATTTTTCTATTTTTTAGTAGAGATGGGGTTTCACCATGTTGGCCAGGCTGGTCTTGAACTCCTGACCTCAGGTGATCCACCTGCCTTGGCCTCCCAAAGTGCTGGGATTACAGGTGTGAGCCACCGCACCCAGCCCCAAAACCCAGTTCTTATCAGAACGTTCTTATCAGAAGGTTCCTGTGAAATCAAACTGAATGCTATGAAGAAAACAATGTTGACAACCTAGTCTTAAATCAAGATTCATATCATCCAAAAATTCTTCTCTAACATTCCTTTTATAACAACCTTTCTGTTATTCTGTAGTCACTTAGTCTTTGGAGCTAAAACATCATCATATTTTTCTTTATATGCTATTCTCTAATTATTTATGGGTTGCTTTAAATATATGTTATATCCTCAAGTGCATATCAAATATTCCAAAGGGCAAAAGCTTTTAATTTTTGTCCCATTTCATTTTTTTAAAATCTTTTTTAGAGACAGCATCTTGATCTGTCTCCTAGGCTGGAGGGCAGTGGTGTGATCATGGCTCACTGCAGTCTCAAAGTCCTGGGCTCAAATGATCCTCCTGCTTCAGCCTCCTGAGTAGCTGAGACAACAGGTGCGTGCCACCATGCCCACATAGTTTTTAAAACTTTCTATTTGTAGAGATGGGGTCTTGCTATGTTGCCCAGGCTGGTCTAGAATTCTAGGCTCAAGCAATCCTCCCACCTCAGCCTCCCAAAGCACTGGGATTATAGGAGTGAGCCATTACACCCGGCCCTCCCCTATTTCTTGGTACACTGATGCAGAGGCATCCAAAAAGCCTTTCTTGGAAGAAGGAAGGAATGGAGGAAGAAAAGAAGAAAGGGAGAAAGACCAGCATATAGGAGTTTAGAGGCTGAAATATTACATTACTGCTCAAGCTCTGGTATGAATAAACAGATTTTTTTTCAGGGCCAAACTTAAAGATTTAAATTAAAAGTCAAAAAAAGTTTTACAGTTTGTACAATCAAGATGAATGATTCAATATTATGGGGCTTACAGTAAGTAAAGTATAATAATTCAAGTAACTTGGTGCAATTATTAAAATATGTACTGAAATGATCAATTAACCTTGGCTATAATGCTAATAGAGCTTCATAATCATTTCTTCTTTAATATGTCCTATGATTTTTCCCTAGATTTTTTTCAGTTAAGTCAAACTGAAAATGATTTCCCAGATGTTTGGTAGTGTGTGTGTGTGTGTATACATATATACATACATACATATATATATATAATATGCATATTTTGTATATAAATTTAAGAAGCAACATTAAGTACACAAGAAGCAACAAAATCAATTCACCAGCTTTAGCAATATTTGTTACTCATACTGAAAGAAATTACCTCTGAGTAATTTGATGAGAGGTATTTCCCATTGCACTTAGCAATGCGTCTCAGGATCTGTAATGCTTTATCTCCTTTCTTCCGAGTAATCAGCCAACGGGGAGACTCAGGGACCACCCTGGCAAAGAAGGAGGCTGTTGTGAGTTATGTCTAGGAATTTCAAACGCTAAAATCTATTGCCTTGAGTTTTTCTATCAAAATGGATCTTGCAATTAGATATACATTTAGGAGTCAATAAGAGTTGATAATAGGTCCCTGAAATACAGATTATTCCTGCAAGGTTATAATGGATGGGGAAAAATGCTAGCTTGATAATTGGATCATTGCTCATCAAAATAATCAACATGACATTGCTCTTGCAAAACCAGGCTATCTTACAATATATTGATTCCATATATGAAAAGAATTGGGATTTAGTAAATATTAAGAAAAGCTTAGGAATCTGATTTATGTAAACTGACTTGCCCATATATTAAAATTAAATTAGAAGAATCATTAAAACATGTTCATTCCAATAAAAATCAAATGCTGGCTGGGTGTGGTGGCTCAGGCCTGTAATCCCAGCCTTTTGGGAGGCCGAGGTGGGTGGATCATTTTAGGTCAGGAGTTTGCAACCAGCTTGGCCAACATGGTAAGACTCTGTCTCTATTAAAAATACAAAAATTAGCTGGGTGTGGTGGTGCATGCCTGTAATCCCAGCTACTGGGGAGGATGAGGCAGGAGAAGCACTTGAATCTGAGAGGCAGAGGTTGCAGTGAGCCGAGATCGCACCACTGCACTCCAGCCTGGGCAACAGAGTGAGACTCCATCTCAAAACAGCAACAACAAAAATCAAATGCTTTTCTGTTGCTTTTTGATAATGTAATTTTTTGATGCTCTTAACATTTCCTTATTCCTCAGAGAATTTCTGAGTAATATTCATTTGCTTTATAGAACACACAGAGAAACAAATAGACTTCATTGCATTTAATTTGCATGTTGAAATACTGGCAGATATGGTTGGTTACTTTATAGTTTTCATGAAGCTATTTATTACAAAACAAAACATAATGCAGTACCCTACTTAAAATTTTGCGTTCTGGTATTTTATTAATTCATTTTTCTTCACAATTATTAATAAAATCATCAACAAATACTCTCTTTAAATCCTAAAATTCTCTAAAAATTCTCAAAGCATGTAGCCATTTTAGAGATGTTTGAAAACACTGTTGGTGGGACTGTAAACTAGTTCAACCATTGTGGAAGTCAGTGTGGCGATTCCTCAGGGATCTAGAACTAGAAATACCATTTGACCCAGCCATCCCATTACTGGGTATATACCCAAATGAGTATAAATCATGCTGCTATAAAGACACATGCACACGTATGTTTATTGCGGCACTATTCACAATAGCAAAGACTTGGAACCAACCCAAATGTCCAACAATGATAGACTGGATTAAGAAAATGTGGCACATATACACCATGGAATACTATGCAGCCATAAAAAATGATGAGTTCATATCCTTTGTAGGGACATGGATGAAATTGGAAACCATCATTCTCAGTAAACTATCGCAAGAACAAAAAACCAAACACCGCATATTCTCACTCATAGGTGGGAATTGAACAATGAGATCACATGGACACAGGAAGGGGAATATCACACTCTGGGGACTGTGGTGGGGTCGGGGGAGGGGGGAGGGATAGCATTGGGAGATATACCTAATGCTAGATGACACATTAGTGGGTGCAGCGCACCAGCGTGGCACATGTATACATATGTAACTAACCTGCACAATGTGCACATGTACCCTAAAACTTAGAGTATAATAAAAAAAAAAAAAAAAAAGAAAATTTTCTTTATTGCTTTCATTTTCATGTCTGTTTGGAGTCTAATTTCTGCAGAATCAGTATAAATATGATGATAACCAAAACCACATTACCAGTAATAAAGGAGGAAGAGAAAGCTGGGCAGCGTGATGGCTAACTGGATTCCTTGCCAGTTGGGGATGAAGTAGGCAATTCCAGGGAGAATTATGATTCCAAGGGTAAAGAACATTTGAATCACGATTCCCACAATCCTCCTTTGTTTCGAACCTACTATTTCTGTCACTAAAGGAAAACAAACACAAGAGGTCACAGAAGCACAAGGTCAGCTCCAAAATAAACAAACAAATACAGAGATGTTACACCTGTTACATCCATCAGCATTGCTAGAACACGCTAGCACTCAGATACGGAGGCTTCCACACTTGCAGAAAGGATGGAGGTGTCCTTCTTGATACTAAATGCTTTTCTCCCACTCTCACCTCTGCCATTTATCACAGGCACTTGCCATGTTCCTCTTATGCACCCAGACCAGCACTCTTCTGGGTACAATAGGGAAATACGAAGAATATCTGTGTTGGTTTTAGGAAAGCTTCAGTGATGATTATTTTAAAAGGTAATTGTAATTATCAAAACATAAATATGTTAAGATGGCTACATTTTATCACTGTATCTCTAGAGATATGCACATTCTAGTCTCCTTAGAAGATTCATTATAAATATAAGACTCTACAAAGACTTTTCGTTATCACAAGACAACTTCTATTAAATGATAATTCTCTCCACAGTGTTATACTTTTCATTGACAGGATATGCTCTAAAAATCACATGGGAAATTTTATTGCTGAAATCTTTTCCTTTCCTGCCCCTTCCCACTAATTGGTTTCTCATATTCTGATTATCCTGGGATAGGCTACTTTATTGTTGCCCTCAGATCACAACTTTGAAGATTCACCTAGGCTGAGTCTCCTTAAAAATGCCTTGCCTTCCAATGTTACTCCTTCTGTTCCAGACAGTGACAACCAATCCCTCTAATCATCTTCTCTCCTTCTCCCACTCACAGAAAGGTCTTCAGGGGTCTCCAAAATGCGCACTGCTTGGAGATTGTATAGCAGTGACAGAGGAGAGTGGAAGTGCAAAGATCTGCAGCAATAATCTAAGATGAGAATTCACATTTTCCTGGTCAGAAATCCACCACTACTCTTAAAGTAAGTGGCTGGTCCCAAGCTAGAAATGGAACCAAAAGGAGTAGCCAGGGCTTTCCCAAGGGACATGAGAAAAAAGTAAAGTGAACTTTTTCTTTCTTCCATCACCAGAAGGTCAAACTTTCTGGCTATAGAAGGTATCCAAGGGTCACAAATGAACTTCTCATTTTTAGAACCTATTTCTCCCATAGTAAAAAGTTTCCCACTTGTACAGAAAGAGGAGAGTTGGCAACACAGGAAAGTAATCTCAAACTGTATCACATAACACAGTGCAGAGAAAATGCTTTAAAAATGCCTCAAAAATGCCTCAAGAAGCTACTGAGATTTTATAAAAATTAATTTCTTATAAAGCAAAGCTAGAAACCATATTATAACAGTGTAGAAGTACATAAAAGTAGTTTGCCCCAGTGCTTTATAATATTCTATATTTGGCTCCCAAAGTAAGGTGGTATTTTAGTTTCTAAAGCACTCAGAATCCTACCTCTGAGCTCTCCCATCTGCAGAAATAATTACTGTAGCTGCAGTGAAACCTCCTTTGTTAAAGGACACATGAGGAAGAGGAAGGTTGATTAACTAGCATTTGTTGGCTATCTGGCCCTAGTTTCCAAATAGAGAAGATGGTGTAAGAATGTCTTACCAATCACGTAGCAAGTCATCCACGTCCCCTTTCCAAATACACCTTGCAGGAAGCGGAAGATCACAAACACAGGGAAGTTTGGTGCAAAGGCCACCACAACCCCAGTGACGCCAACACCAAGGCAGGATAGCAAGTAAATGACGATCCTGCCATACCTTTTTGAGAAAGACAGGAAAAGAGCTCACCTTAAACATTTTCTTCAACACAATGGGAAAATATAACATAAAATATTATATCATACCATATTATACTGTATTACATTATATCATTTTATTTTAAAGATGTTTTGTAGAGACAGGGTGTCCCTATGTTGCCTAGGCTGGAATTACAAAATTTAAAGTACAGAATGCATCCTTTGTGATTGCAGTTTCTGAAAAGATGACCCTCCTTGAAACTATTGTTTCACACAGAGTCTCCCCGGTGGTACAGATGTGACACTTTCTAGCATTTTTTATGTGTCAAGTCATAAGGACAGAGAGGCAGAAAGAAGAAGGAATGGTGTGTTATGGCCAGAAGGCCTTGCCTTGAATCTCACCTCAACCATCTACCAGTCATAAGACCTTGGGCTAATTCCTAAGGTCTTCAAAACGAAGGTTTTGCTTGCTTGTTTTTGTTTATTCCCACCTTTTTCTAGAGGGAGGTTGTAGAGAGGATCAAATGAGATGTTAATGTGAAAGTGTTTTATAAACTACAAAGTTCACAGCCAATGTCAGTTGTTCTTAAATTTTGTATTTTATTTTCACCATTGGCATATGTGTTATTAAATAGTTTAGGAAAAGGAACAAGGTAACATGCACAACATTCTGAGAGACTGGTGTGAATTGGTTCAGCATAGTGGTGTCAAATTATTGTCTGGTAAATGTTTGCTATCAATGTCCATTAAGAGATTTGATTCTATTACATCTTTTCATAAAAATTTCCATAAAATATGTACATATAGCATCTTGCTTGAGTCAGCAGAGTAGAGATGGAAGTAGCCTTAGTTTATCTAAAATTTTTTTTAGTGGACTCTGTCCCCTGCCCCTACACATGCACAGCATACTCCTTGTTAACATTCCCCATGGGAGTGGTACACTTGCTGCAATTGACGAACCTACAGGGACACATCATAATCACCCAATGTCCACAGTTTACATTTGGGTTCACTCTTGATGTTGCAAATTCTATGTGTTTTGACATGTGTATAATGACACGTATCCACCATTAAAGTATCTAACAGAATAGTTTCTCTGCTCTAAAAATCCTCTGTGCTCTGCCTGTTCATCCCTCCCTCTCCCCACCCTCTAGCAACCACTGATCCTTTTTTTTACTGTCTCCATAGTTTTGCTTTTTCCAAAATGTCATATAGTTAAAATCTTATAGTATGTAGCCTTTCCAGATCAGTTTCTTCATTTAGTAATAAGTACTTACGTTTCCTCTATGTATTTTCATAGCTTGATAGCTCATTTCTTTTCAGCATGGAATAATATTCCATAGTCTGGATGTATCACAGTTTGTCCATTCACCTATGGAAGGGCATCTTGGTTGCTTCCAAGTTTTGGCAATTATGAAGAAAGCTGCTATAAACATGTATGTGTAGGTTTTTGGGTGAACATGAGTTTTCAACTTTTTTGGGTTGGAATTGGAATACCAAGGAGTACAATTGCTGGATCATTTAGTAAAAGTATGTTTAATTTTGTAAGAATTACAAAAATGTGTAAGAATTTTGTCATCTAAAGTCACCTTTCATTTTGCATTCTCACCAGCAATGAATGAGAATTCCTGTTGTTCCACATCCTAGTCAGCATTTGGTGTTGGCATTGTTCTGGATTTTGGCCATTCTAATAGATATGTAGTGGTATCTCACTGCTGTTTTAATGGGCATTTCCCTGATGATATATGACGTAGAGCATCATTTCATATGCTTATTATCATCTGTATACTCTCTTTGGTGAGCTATCTGTTAAGATCTTTGGCCCGCTTTTTAGTTGGGTTGTTTATTTTCTTATTGTTGTGTTTTAAGAGTTCTTTATATATTTTGGATAACAGTTCTTTATCAAATATTTGCCTTTTGTTAATATTTTCTCCCAGTCTGTGTCTTGTCATTTCATTTGTTCTCTTGATAATGTCTCTCTCACAACAAGAAAATTTCAATTTTAATGAAGTCCAGCTTATCAGTTCTTTTTTTCATGGATTATGCTTTTGGTGTTGTATCTAAAAGGTCATCTAGATTTTTTTCCTATCCCATCCTCTAGGAGTTTTACAGTTTTGTATTTTACATTTAGGTCTGTGATCCATTTTTTTTAAAGGGTGTAAGGTCTGTGTCTAGATTCATTTTTTTTTTTTTTTTGCATGTGGTTGTCCAGTTGTTCCAGTACCTTTTGTTTTCTGCTTTGTCAAAGGTCAGTTGACTATATTTATGTGGGTCTATTTCTAGGCCCTCTATTTTATTCCACTGAACTATTGGTAGAGGTCTATTCTTTCACAAATACCACACTGTCGTGATTACTGTCGCTTTACGGTAAGTCTTGACGTTAAGTAGTGCCAGTCCTCTGGCTTTGTTCTTCTCCTTCAGTACTGCGTTGGCTATTCTGGGTCTTTTGTCTCTACATATAAACTTTAGAACTAGTTTGTCAATATCCACAAAATAACTCTGTAGGATTTTGATTAGTATTGTATTGAATATATACATCAAGTTGGGAAGAACTGACATCTTGACAATATTGAGTCTTCCTATCCATGAATGTTGAATATCTCTCCATTTATTTAGATCATCTCTAATTTCTTTCATTAGAGTTTTGCACTTTTCCTCACATAAATCTTGTACATATGTTGTTAGATTTATATCTAAGTGTTGTGTATTCTTGTGGTGCTAATGTAAATGGCATTATGTGTTTAAATTCAAATCCTACTTGTTCATTGTTGGTACATAGGAAAGCAGTTGACTTTTGTGTATTAGCCTTGTACCCTGCAACTTCACTATACTCACTTATTAGTTTCAGGAGTTTTTTTTTTTGGTTGTTGTTGTTGTTAATTCTTTTGATTTTCTACATAGACAATCATGACATCTGTGAACAAAGACAGTTTTTATTTCTTCCTTTCCAATCAGTATACCTGTTATTTTCTTTACTTGTCTTATTTATTGTATTAGCGAGGGCTTCTAGCATGGCATTGAAAAGAAGTTATTAGAGATGACATATTTGGCTTGTTTCTGATCTTAGTGAGAAAGCTTCTGTACAGTTTATCGTCATTAAGTATGATGTTAACTGTAGTTTTTTTAATAGACATTCCTTATCAAGTTGAGGAAGTTCCCCTATATTTCTAGTTTACTGAGAGCTTTTGTCATATATAGATGTTGGATTTTGACAAATACTTTGTCTGTATCTATTGATATGATCATGTCATTTTTTCTTCCTTAGTTTGTCGATGTGATTGATGGATGACATTAATTGACTTTAGAATGCTGAACCAGTTTTACATACTTGGGATACTACGCACTTGGTATGCTACAGTATTTGGTTGTGGTGTATAATTTTTTTTATACACTATTGGATTCTACTTGCAAATTTTTGTTGAGGATTTTTGCACTTATGTTCATGAAATATATTAGTCTGTAGTTTTCTTTTGTTGTAATGTCTGTCCAATTTAGGTATTAAAGTAATGCTGGTCTCAGAATAAGTTAGAAAGCAATCCCTCTACTTCTATCTTTGGAAAGAGCTTTTAGGGAATTGGTAGAGTTTCTTCTCTAAACGTTTGGCAAATTCACCTGTGAACCCATCTGGGCCTGGTGCTTCCTGTTTTGAAAAGTAATTAACTATTGATTCAATTTATTTAATAGATATAGCCCTATTCAGATTGTCTATATAATCTTGGGTGAGTTTTGGCAGATTGTAATCTTTCAAGGAATTGGTCCATTTCATGTAGGTTATCAAATTTGTGAACACAGAGTGTTCATAGTATTTCTTTATTATCCTGTTAATGTCCATGGGATCCGTCAAAATGTCCCCTCTTTTATTTCTAATATTAGTAATTTATGTCTTCAACCTCTCTCTCTCTCCTCTTTCTTTTTTCTTAGTCTGACTGGAGGCTTATTGATTTTTTTTGATCGTTTCAAATAACCAGCTTTTGGTTTTATTTTCTCCCTTGATTTCCTGTTTCTAATTTTATCGATTTCTGCTCCAATTTGTATTTTTTTTTCTTCTACTTGCCTTGGGTTTAATATGCTCTTCTCCAGTTTCCTAAGGTGAAAGCTTAGATTATTGATTTTATATATTTCCTCTTTTCTAATATATGTATTCAATGCTATAAATTTCCCTTTAAACATTGTTTCTGTTGCATTCCAAAAGTCTTGAGTGTTTTCATTTTCATTTTGTTTACTATACTTTTTAATTACTCTTGAGATTTCTTCTTTGACCTATGTGTTACTATAGATGTGTTGTTTCATCCCCAAGTATTTGGGGATTTTCCATCTATCCTTCTGTTATGAATTTCTAGTTTAATTCCACTATGTTCTGGGAGCAGAGATTGTATAATTTTTATTTCTTCAAATTTGCTAATATATGTTTTATGGCCCAGAATGTGATTTATCTTGAATATTGCATGTGAATATTTCATTAGAACTTGAAAAAAATGTTAAGTCTGCTGTTGTTAGATAAGGTTGTCTAAAGAGGAAAATTAGATACAGTTGATTGATGATGCTGTTGAGTTCAATTATATCTTTATAGGTTTTTTACCTGTTGAATCTGACCATTTCCAACAAAGGGATGTTGAAGTCTCCAGTGAAATCGTGGATTAATCTATTTCTCATTCCAGTTTTATCACAGTTTTTGCCTCTTATAATTTTGTGCTCTGCTACTAAACACATAGATATTAAGGATTATTGGCTTCTTGGAGAATTGACCCCTTTGTCATTATATAATGCCCGTTTTTATCCCTGATAACTTTCCTTCCTCTGAAGTCTGCTCTGCTGATAATAGTATAGCTACTTCTGCTTTACTTTGATTACTGCTATCATGGTATAGTTTTCTCCATCCATTTACTATTAGTGTATATGTGTCTGTATATTGAAAGTGGATTTCTTGTAGACAACATATATGGTTGGGTCTTGTTTGTTGATCCACTGTGAAAATCTCTGTCTTTTAGTTGGCTCATTTAGACCATCTTACATTTAAAGTGAGTATTGGCATGGTTGGATTAATGTCTACCGTATTTGTTATCATCTTCTATTTGTTTCCCTTATTTTTTATTCTTATGTTTGTATTCCACACTTTTTCCTGGCTTTTGTGGTTTCATTGAACAGCAGTTTATAGGATTCCACATTTTCTTCATTTTAGCATATCAGTCATGCTTTTTTAAAAAAAATCTTTTTTTAGTAGTTGCTTTAGAGTTTACAATATACATTTATAACTAATTCAAATCCACTTTCAAATAACACTGTATCACTTCATGAGTAGTATGAGTACCTTATAACAAAAAATACTCTATATATGCTTATGTATGCTTATATATATAAACATACACAACCAAACACATTGTTGCTATTATTTTGAATAAACTATTATCTGTTAGATCAATTGAGAATAAGAAACATATTCTCAATTGCTTATTCCTCTCCAATGCCTTTCCTTTATGTAGATCTGGATTTCTAACCTAGATCATTTTCATTCTCTCTAAATAATTTCTTTTAACATTTATTACAAGGCATCAAATTCCCTCAATTTTTGTCTAACAAAGTCTTTATTTCTCCTTCACTTTTAAATGATAACTTTGCACAGTATAGAATTCTAGATTGGATTTTTTTTCTTGACACTTTAAGTATTCCACTTTCTTCTTGCTTACCTGGTTTCTGAAAAGAAGTAGGGTGTAATTTTTATCATTGCTCTTTTACTATAGTAAGACATTATCCCCCCACTCTTCTTTCAGAATTTTTCCTTTATCTTTGGCTTTCTGTAGTTTGACTACGATATAACTAGGTATACTTTTTTATGTTTATCTTGCTTGATTTCCTTTGAGTTTCCTGGATCTGTGGTGTCTGCCATTAATTTTGAAAAATTCTCAGTCATTATTGTTTAAAATATTTTTTCTATTTCTCGCTCTCTTTATTCTCCTTTTGGTATTCCTATTACACATATATTATATCTTTTGTAATTGTCCCACAGTTATTGAACATTCTGTTCTGCTTTTTCAGGTGGTTGTTATTGTGTGTGTGGGTTTTTTTTTTTTTTTTTTTTTTCAGTTTTGGAGGTTTCTACTGGGATATCCTCAAGGCCAGAGATTCTTTCCTCAGCTATGCCCAATCTCCTAATAAGCCCAGTAACAACGTTTTTCATTTCTGTTACAGTGTTTTTGATCTCTAGCATTTCATTTGGTTTCTTTTTTTAGAATTTCCATCTCTCTACTTACATAGCCCAACTGTTCTTGCATGCTACTTTATGCATCAGACTTCTTGGCATAGTTGTTTTACATTCTTAGCCTGATCATTCCAACATCCCTGCCATATCTGAATTTAGTTCTGATGCTTACTCTGTCTCTTCAACTGTGTGTGTGTGTGTGTGTGTGTGTTTTGGCTTTTAGTATGTCTTGTAATTTTTTCTTGATAGGTGGACATGGTGTACTGGGTAAACGGAACTGCTATAAATAGACCTTTAGTAATGTGGTGGTGAGGTGTTGGGGGAGGGAAGGCATTCTGTGGTTCTATGAGTAGCTCTCAGTCTTTTAGTGAACCTATGTCTCTAAACGGTGAACTTCACAAATGCTTCTCTATCCCTCTCCTCTGAACTAGGGGAGAAAGGCTAGAGGGGGCTGGAGCTGGGTATTTCCCTTCTTCCAAGTTGAAAGCTAGAGGAGGCTAGAATTTGGTGTTTCTCTTTCTCCACTTGGAAGGCTAGAAGGGGCTGGAGTTGGTATTTCCCTTCCCCCAGATCAATGAGGCTCTCAGAAAACCCCAGAAGATTAGGCTCTGGTTAAACATCTTCTCCTGAGGGCAGACATTGTTAAGAACGATATTCTGGCATATTTCAAAATTGTTCCTTTTCCCCTCTGGCTGCCAGAGCATGAGGGATTTTCCTTAATATTCACCTTTGGAACCTTGTAGAGCTTCAGGTGGCAAAAAAAAAAAAAAAAAAAAAAAAAATCACAAAAGCTTGGGCCCTCCTTTGAGTGAGTCCCTCTAGAGTTTTTAATCCTTCAGGTCATCCACAGTGATCCTCCAGGAATTCATCAATTACAGTTCATGTTTATCTACCCTGGCTCTCTCAAGGAGGTTTCTGCGCCTGTGTTATGATTCTCTGTATTCTCCTGTCTTTCTATTTAGTGGGGTTGGGGGTGCGGGGTGATGCTGAAGGTAGTAGTTTGCCCTGTAATCTCACTTCTCTTATGGATCTGAGAAGAATTATTGATTTTTCAGTTTGTTCAGCATTTTACTTGTTGTCAAGACTGAGTGGCAAATTCTAAGCTCCTTATAGGCTGAACAGGAAACCAGAAGCCCCAATCTAGATTTTATATTCACTTTCCACCCTTCCTACACTGTACTCTCATTGACAAATGGCCTATTAAGTTATTTCTTGTTCTTCCTTCACATATATAAATCATGGATATGGAGGAAGAGAAGAAGCCAAATGTAGGAAGCAGAGTTATTCATGGCTCCTCTTTTTCCCAGGTCTGGCCCCTCCCCTCCAAGGCAGCAAGTCCTATATGAGGACAGATGCTCAATCACTTATGAGAATATAGGAAGGGGAAATTCCCCACTTTAGTAACGTTAATTTAGTTTGGAGATATGGTTATTGACTGAGTAAGAGAAAAAAAACACAGATGAAGCAAAACCTAATATCCAAATTAGAAAGAGTAAAAACAAAACAAAATAAATAAATATTTAAACTGCACAGTTCCAAATTGTAGCCAGCAAAAAAAGAGTGGCATGTGGGGGAAATTAGGAAAGGAAAGATGAAGCTTGAAAGGGCTAGAAGTAGAACAGGAGAAAAGGACATCGATAAAAAGAAGAAAAAGGGGAAAGGGCATCACACATGAAAGGATCCAGCAGAAACTCACATGCAAAGGACAGCTGTGGAGAGGGCGAGAGAGAAACATGAAAGAGAAAGAAAAAGTGACAGAAAATGAAACCCAAGGCTCTACCCATTTTGAAGCACTGGTCTGATTAAACTCAGATCTTCAATTGGCTACAGGATATGGGGCCTTTTGTTGTTCTATTAGCTAATTAATTGCTGTTTGCAGTTCTCTAAAGGTAAACTTAGTATCACCCACTGAATGGTACAGTCACAAGAACCCACCATGGGCTGGGCTCGATTAACCAGAACAATATTAGGCCAGATATGGCCATGAGTCAGAGATGGATTAACCAGAACAATATTAGGCCAGATACAGCCATGAGTCAGCAATTTCCAGTCTATATTCCTATTACTCCTGCTAAGGGGGATAGAGAGGAATATTAAATTACTGCAAGTATTTTCATAGTTAGAATTGGAATTAAAAATAGAGTTAAACATGAATACAATAGCTAGCATCAATAATCTTAAGGAAGAAGAATATTTAAATAGAAAGCATGATGTCTTGAATATACACACTCACCATGCCTGCCACTGGGCAGTTGCATTTATGAATACAAAATAATAGAAAAAAACTCCTTTAGTGGTTTTTGGAAAAATATTTTTTTCACAGAGTTTTACATTTGTAGAATAAAATACAAGGATTTCGTTTAAAAAAAAATTAGGTGAAACAAATTTGGAATAGGCTAATCTTATGACTAAATTAATAAAACCACAATCAGTAAGTTGTTACTGAAGCACATCGAATTGATTGATTCTGTAGTATTCAGCATAACAGTGCATCAACCCAGTCATGATGTTCCTGCTTTGGAGGTCTGTGTTTTCATTCTGATGCTCTCAGTCCTACCGGGAACAGCCTCAGACCTTTGTGAAGTTCAAGGAATAAGGAGATGAAGTTTGAAAAGAAAAGAATTAGTCAAACCAACCAAGTGTGGATGTCATGAATGATGGAATCAAGAATTGTTTGCGAATTTAGCAAAAATATTGTTTTAATAGTTAACATAAAACATTTTTCTCCCCGTATTAATGCATGGTATTATAGTGACATAAAATGGCTGTCACATTGGTACCTACCTGTCTGCTGCATAGCCTAAGGTGAATGCTCCAGTCAGGAAGCCGAGGTTCAGGATGGCTTGGGTGAGGTCCAGCATCCACGCATTGACACAGACAAGGTCAAACTGAGAAAACAAAGAAAACACACATGGAGACATGCCAGAATGCAGATCTTCAAAACACCTTATCTTTTGTATAGATCAATGATCTGTAAAGATTTTTGCTCATATACTCTTTAAATAAATTTTGAAAATGTATCACATACGTATGTTTACATTAACACATAAATATCCTTTGTTTAAATAACTGCAAAGGATGTAATTTTCAGTATACTATGTTGTTATAACATCGTTCTTTTTTTTTTTTTTTTTGAGATGGAGTCTCGCTCTGTCACCAGACTGAAGTGTAGTGGAGCAATCTCTGCTTACTGCAACCTCTGCCTCTCGGGTTCAAGCGATTCTCCTGCCTCAGCCTCCTGAGTAGCTGGGACTACAGGTGTGCGCCACCACGCCCATCTAATTTTTGTATTTTTAGTAGAGATGGGGTTTCACCATGTTGGCCAGAATGGTCTCGATCTCTTGACCTCGTAATCTGCCCACCTCAAACTCCCAAAGTGCTGGGATTATAGGAGTGAGCCACCGCGCCTGGCCAACATCATTCTTTTAAGCGTATTGAATAGAGCAAGAGTCCCCAACCACCGAGTCATGGACCAGTACCAGTTTGTGGCCTGTTAGGAACCAGACCGCACAGAAGGAGGTGAGCAGTAGTGGGCCACGAGCATTACTGCCTGAGCTCTGCCTCCTGTCAGCTCAGCAGCGGCATTAGATTCTCATAGGAGCGTGAACCCTATTGTGGGCGGCGCATGAAATCTCGGTTGCGCACTTCTTATGAGAATCTAACTAATGCCTGATGATCTCAGGTAGAATAGTTTCACCTGAAACCATCTCCCCGAACAGCCCCCACTCCCTCCATCCATGGAATAATTGTCTTCCACAAAACTGGTCCCTAGTGCCAAAAAGGAAGGGATGGCTGCAATAGAGTATGAATATTATATGCTATCAGGTGTCCAATTGCTATAAACAGACTGTTCTTTAATAGTCTGAAATTTGACATCAATTTTTTTCTCTTTGAGCTCTTATTTTCATTTCCACAGACTTTTATTCTAATGTAATGTATTTCGTGTAGAAAATATTTTATAGGTTTTGTCACCATACTTCTATGTACAATAAGTTACATATATAAATTGACATTTAATTTTTAAAATTTTCCTGTGGCAATAAGTCTCTAAATATTGGATTTTTTCTGCTTGGGTTATAATTACAATTATCTTTAGATCATAATTGATAAAAAAATAAGATGTAATAAATTTTAAGAAATAATTATTATGCAGAAGTAAAATTTTGTTGGAAATGTATGTCTCCATGGCCAAAAGCGAGTCTAAGTTTTTCTAGTTAGGTCATGAAATCAGTGGATATATTATTTATTACTAGAATGAGTTAGGGCTCAAAATTAATTCTATTTCTGTTTTTCATTTTTATAAATTTATGGGCCAAGAAGATTTTTCCATATAAATAAATCAGTGGGAATGAAGGGAGTTTTGCTACAGAAATGTTACTCAATTCTTTAACCTCCTTCTCAGCTGTATGCCAAGATTCACAGTGATCTATCACCAAATTATTTTTACTTTTTTATTAGCCAGCATGTCATGTAAGTTCTCCTACAGTTCTGCTCTAAGGAAAAAAATGGAAACCATCAGACTTACAAAAAGTTGTTTAATTAAGTCATCAGTCATTTACATTTACTTATAATTAGTCTTACATTAAGAAAGTTACTTTCTTAATACTGGAACAATATGTCAAATTGTCCCATTGTTTGTTGCCCTGAAGATTTTAAAACTTCAAGTCAATGCCTCAGAGAAAGATGAGAGAGAGGCATGATTAATTTTGCAAAGTGGGAAAAGTACAATTTTGGGTAGGAACCTGCATCCTTAAAAGGGACATATTCTTAGACGAATTTGTTTTGGGAAAGAGTACGAATGTAGGTTGAGGATCTGAAAACTGGCTCCCTTAAAATTATCCAGGCCGACAATTCCTGTGATCATCTTTGCAAATCTCCAAGTGGTATGCTTACCCCAGTTTCATGCTGCAGTCTAACCACTGCATTAGACTCTAGCATGAAGAGAAAATTAATGTGGTTGGAATATGAATTTTGAGGAGTCTCATAAATACATATTCATAAGTAAACTATCGTATTTACTTATAAAGTCCAACTTCTTGCCTTGGTTTTACAGCTAATGACCTGTCACCTAACATAGTTGGAAAAAATTTGGAGGCAGTAGTAGTTGGCTTCTCACAGAGTTGCTGAGATGATCAGTCAAGATGTAAGAAGTAAAGAGATTTACAGATATGCATAATAGTTGTAATCATGGTCATTTTAAAGGATTTTTATTATCAATTTTGGTTTTTCGAGGTACAAAAATTTTATTTTAAGTAAACAAGTTGATGATTATTTATCTGAAATAATTTCTCATTGGAATTAAGCAGGCATAGTTATTCTATGTACTAAAATAAAAGTACATAGAATTTCAGAAAGCAAACAGCGAAATCAAACTACCAGCGGAAATGCAACATTTGCTTTGGAAAAGTATCAACCAGTGTCAAATATAAAAACCCAAACAGTAGAATTTGCTTCATCCATCTGTACTTCAAATAGCTGAGTTAGCTAGCAGAGGCAAACAGGAGTGCTTTTCGTAGATGACATAGCAAGGCCTATCAAGAGCTTGCCTTTTAATACATGTATTCAGCTGCTTTTGAACTATGTGAATTAAAATGCCCCCAAAATATTCTTTAAACCCATAAAATATTCTTTAATATAATACTGATTATCTTCTTGACTGTCCCATAAAAGGCATAGTCAAATAGGATTTCTCTTATATTTGATATTTAAATAAGAATCAATTTAAAATAAATACTTCAATGGTTAAAGTGCAGCGATAACACAACATTTTCTAAAGCTTTATGATAGGCATCTGGGCCAGATACTGCCTGCCCTTCTGTGTTTTCTGTACCTCAGGGGACTACATTTCTCAGATTCCTTTACTGGCAGGGTTCTGTGTAGGTTGTACCAGTAGGGAGCTAGTGCAAAATCAGAAGGTAGGAGGGAGGTAGTGGACATTCTGCTTCTGGCTGTGGCAGCAGCTCCAGCTCCAATCCTGACAGTGGTGGCTGTGGGAGTCAGCCAGTGCCCCGTGTGCCTGGCCACATGGGGGCAAAGGGATACTGCCCCACAGCTGCCAGCTTTGTAATGGCCACCCAGCAGGGCAGGACACTGCAGGAACTGTCCTTCCTGACCCCTGTCCTCTCCTTCTTCTTCAGCTCTTCCAAAACAGCTCAAATCCTAACGCTTTTATTAAATCCCTCTCTGGTTAAAATACCTAGCCTGGTTTCTGTTTTTGTGACTGGGATCTTGCCATCTTTCAAAGGTAGAAAATAAAGCAACAAACAAATTATGTGTTTCTAAAGAAATGCACACACATCCACACACGCTTGTGTTTCCTGTACAGGGAAAACTGCAGGCCCAAGGATTGAAGGGCTTGATGTTGACTCTTGCTCATAGAGTCAGGGGGCAGACCTCTGCCTCTAGGGGCTGACGCTTCCTAATCAGCTCTCAGCTTGCTGCCTGCCTGCTGATGCAACAGCTCTGGGCCTGCGATGTATCTTTCGTGTTTAAAGAGAGATTAGCGGGCACCAAAGCCATGAGCTTCACAGGCTAAGTACTTTTTTCTGATATAAAGTACTAAAAGCTTGTTGTAGTTCCTTGGGAGACCAAAAACCCACCTCTTGTCAATGGGAGATCATTGTGGATCACCAACAATTCACTTAAGTCTGAATCAATGACGCACATTTATGTCCTTCTCCTAAGGCAATCTATGTAGAACAACTGGGGCATCTCCTATTTTTTTTCAAAGTATACACATGCAAAAACATTAAGCAATTTTAAATGTTCATAAATCCATGTGTACCCATTCTGTTACTTATTAATCTTCAAAGTCACTTTTACACAAAGAAAATGACGCCTTTTGGCATGAGCAGAAAGTCAGTCTGATAAAAGACTCAAACAACTGTTGGTGTAATGTAAGGATAACATTGCTTCGTTTTGCAGAAAGCCTGAGTAACTGTAGCCAAATGAGAAACTTTTGAAGGGTTTCCAAGTGAAGGTTTTTCTTAGCTTTTCTTCTTTGTTAAAATCCAAACAGACATTATGTTAATTTGAGTTGTAATGATGAAATGCTGGGGCAAGTAATTATTAGATATATGCTAAAGTTGTCATTTCTAAATTATCCTTAAAACAAGAGCAACAAATAATCTCCCATTTACAAAGGTCAAAGGTAAGAAGCAAGGCAGAAAATAATGCAAGTATTCAAAAGGCATAGAAAATGTGGCATATATACACCATGGAATACTATGCAGCCATAAAAAATGATGAGTTCATGTTCTTTGTAGGGACATGGATGAAGCTGGAAACCATCATTCTCAGCAAACTATCACAAGGACAAAATACCAAACACCGCATGTTCTCACTCATAGGTGGGAATTGAACAATGAGAACACATGGACACAGGAAGGGGAACATCACACACTGGGGACTGTTGTGTGGTAGGGGGAGGGGGGAGGGATAGCATTAGGAGATATACCTAATGCTAAATGACGAGTTAATGGGTGCAGCACACCAACATGGCACATGTATACATATGTAACAAACCTGCACGTTGTGCACATGTACCCTAAAACTTAAAGTATAATAATAATAAATAAATAAATAAAATAAATAAATAAATAAATAAACTCAGGAGAGGGGCCTCATTTGCTCCTCAGACCATAGGGAATGGACCCAGGTGACCATCAGCTGGATTTTTCCACTGGGTTCTAGGTTAGCCCTCTTGAACAAATTCTCACTTAAGAGATTCTAAGATTAGACGATATCACAGTATTTTACTTTAGTTATAAGCCATCGGAAATAGCCCTCATTTGCGGTGTGCATTGTTCTAGGAGAAAGGGAAGTCTCTGAAGTCAAATTGCAATATCTATGTGCTTCTGTTTTAATTTTCTAGGGATGAGTTGTCAATGGAACCTTTCCTAATCAGCTCTTAGCTTGAAATCAGGAGTCACTAAACTCTTCATCAGTATTAAAAATAATAATAATAATAATAATAATCACTGATACTGTCAGGTGTGGTGTGCTCCTGGCTACATTTTGCACTGGCCAAAACAATGACATGTAGACCTCCATGGGCAACTTCCATTTTTAATCAACCACACAGTACCATAACAGAGCCTAATAATGGCTAAAAATTATAGTAATCATAAATAATAATTTGGTTTGGGTTTCCATGAGGAAAAAGGATGTCATTATTAATTTGGGTCACCATGAAAAAATTTTAACATGATCTGATGGCACTATTTGGGCACCTTCATTTAATGTCAAAAAGTTAACACTTCTTATACTACAGGTATAAAGAGTAATTATCAGGTATGTTGGAGATCACTCCAATTTTGTTTGCTTGGCATTATGCCGAGAAGGCTGGGAGGAATACCAGGCATATACACACCTTGTTTCTGTCCCTGGGAGGTACTTGTTATATAGTTTGGGAGCCAAGGTCAATTTCTGTGAAGCAAATGTAGAGCAGCTGAGATCTAAACAGAATGGAATCGACTAAATGTAAGATAATTTCAAACAAAGAAATGGCCCATGGAGGTAAGAGCAGCTGGAGACTTGAAGAAGGTTGGACCAGAGAAGGTCCCACAATGAGCTGGATTTAGGTAGAAATCAAAGGAAAAAGAAGGGCACTGAAGACAAGATGAGGAGCAGGTCCAGCCACAGAGACAGAAACGTGGGTGCCAACAAGGTTCTGCCTGGCACATGACTGGGAAGTACACTGTTTTAAGCTGGGCAGCTGCTTCTCCCCATCCCACCTTTGATGGGGAAGGGAGTGTGGGTCCAGGGCCAAGACAGGAAACCAGGGGATCTGCAATGATTGCCCAGAATGGGGTGATTTAGTTTAATGCAGAGAGGCATCATTATGAGATATAGGCTCTTAGATCCTCACTTGTCATAGAAGCTGTTCTCCAAGGTTCATAACTATCAGGCTTTACTGTAGGTTAGGCAGCTAAGCTTCGAAATAGGAGGGAGAGATGTCTTCTAAATGCATCACTTTTTTTCTAAACTTGTGAAATTGGGAGACATGAAAGTATTAAATCTGTTTGAATAATAATTCCTGTCATTTATTAACTTCTGCCCTTGGTGACTCATCCTCAGGTTGTACAAGATACATATGATACGTCAGCCCCTCTCTCTCCAGGCTGTTTTATTTCTTTGTAGTGAAGGCTTGCAGTTACGCATCTTAAAATGTTTACAATTTCTCTAAATAACTGAGACTGTCTAAAGACGAGAAGAAGATGAAAGGTTCTAAATATGTTCTGGGTTCTCTTGGCAAAGACGAGTCCTAGTTCTGGAGCCAGACAGCCTGGATGTCTTGACTTGGCCGCTCCCAGGTCTGTGTCCTCTGGCGATTTTCCAACATTGTTGACTCTTGTGTTCCTATCTGTAAGATGAAGAACTGGAATGATGAGTCATTGGTATAATATACATAAAGTACTCAGCCCAGTGCCTGAGACACAGTAACTGTCCAATAAATGTTACCAATTGCATTATAATCAGTGATATAATGCTGATGATAATAAAATATATATATATAGAATTACTTGAGGTAAATGAAAAAATGCCTGAGCCCAACTCCAGTCCAATTAAATAGGATTTAGTCTAATATGCAGTTGATATAGAGGTTATCAACTATTTACCTGCTGGAAGATAGTTAATTTCAGCGTATTTTATAGGACTGGCTTCCCCCCTCCCTCAACACCCTACATTTTATGTCTACCTGAAACCTCAGAAGTTGACCTTTGGAAATAGGGTCTTTGTAGATGTAATGAGTTAAGATGAAATCATGCTGTATCAGAGCGGGCCCTAGTCCAATGACAGGTATCCTTTGAAGAAGAGAAAACAGAGACACAGCCACATACCAGAAAAAAGGCCATATGAAGCCAGAGACAGAGATTGGGGTGATGCATCTACCAGCCAAAGAGTGCCAAGGACTGGCAGCAGTGCTGGAGCCAGGAGAGGGGCATGGAACAGACCCTCTCCTAGAGCCCAAGAGACAGCATGGTTCTGTGCACATCTTGACTTTGGACTTCTGGCCTCCAGAACCAGGAGCGAATCAATTTCTATTTTCTGAAACCACCCAGTTTCTGGTATATTGTTTCATCAGCCCTAGGAAATGAATACTCCTATCAGTTTCACATAAAACAAAGATTAATAAAACAACAAGGAAGATAGCTCTCTCTTCTGCATTCTCACTCCTTGGAATTCAGGGATGAGCTTTGTGCTGAGTCCTGGTCCACACAGCTGCATCTCCCTGGTGGCTCACTCATCTCATTCCCCAGTTGCAGCCCCCTGGAGAGAGTGTACATCTTTTTCCCACCTCTCAGGTGTCAGCCTGGACCCGCAAGATACTGGCTTCCCAAGCAGAGAGGACCCGACAACCTAGCCATGATGGGACTGTCTCTCAGGACAGACTCTGACCAGTAAAAGATGGAGCACAGGAGAAGAGGGAGCCCAACCCCCTCCATGGCTGTTCTGAGACACAGATATTCCACTAGACTTTGCAGAGCTCCCTGGGGAATGAGGCCAGTGCCTTGGCTGTGGAGTTGTGGCTGGCTTGGGGTTCCTCGCTCTGAATTGCTCTCCCTCCTTCCTGCCGCTCTTGCTTTCCCCCCTCTTCCTTCCCTAGGATGGCAGCCCTTGATCAAGAATTAATATATAAGCTTTTGCCCCAGGCTCCGATTTTTAGGCCACTCAGGCTAAGGAGTGCTTAACAAGTGGATCATAGCCATCTGAATAGGGCTACTCTATTTTAAATTCATGCCTCCCCATTTTGGAGGAGTCTGTTTAAAAAAGTATACATTATAAGTGGTGATTAATTAGTTCTAAGTAAGTTAATCAAAGGCACAAATACTTGGCAAGCATAGCTACTGTTTTTCATGAACTAAACATCTTGAGTCACTGCATTGATTTAATGCAATTCCATCCAAAAGGATGAGACCCACACAGAATCCCACCCAAGGCCAACCACGTTAGACTTCACTATACAGACTCTGCCCCATCCCTGCTGGAGCCAGTGCTGACCAGGTTCAACACAGTCTCCAAGGCTGTCAGCCCAACCAGCAGGTCCTGCTGCCTGGATGGGTTTTGTTGCTCTCAGCCCTGCAGCCATAAACCTGGCACTACCAGGGTTTCCCTTCCACTAAGAGAGAAGAGTGCTAAGCCGGGGCATGAGTTAAGAGCTGAAATTGCAGCCTCGCTCTGACCATCTGGGTGTAGTATCATCAACACTGGGAGTACAAATGGTCAAGAAGGGACCAATCTCTGACCTGCTCTACCAGTGGGCTAGGAGGAGAGACGTGTCACAGAGTCAAGTGGACATGCCACGCTGCACATCAGGGCACAGTGACAGTTGCCTGACACCCCTTACTTGCTCCAGTGGCAGTGGCAGGACTGAATTTTGGAGAATTACCCTCCCCACTGTGAACAAGAACAGAACCCTGTCAGTTAAGGTGCTTGGCCATCCTTTGCCGTGGCCTCCCACATGGCCACGTTGGATTATTCCAAGGACTGGCTGACAGAATTGATGTTCTCCTGCTTGGCACTTGGTAGACTCTCCATAAACACTCGTTCATTGATTGGATCAGTCAGTTGGATATTCCAAGGAACTGGCACAAGACTGATATTAAATACAAGACAAAAAAATGGCTCATGATTAAGGGCCAATTCTATGGAAAAATCAGGTCACACAACTTTTTAATCAAGTGAGATGATCAGCCTTCTATACGAGATATTTCATCATCATGTCATCTGACCGTGAGTGTTCTGGAAAGATGACTAAATTGGATGCTCTAGCCAGTGACTATCTAATACATTCACCTCTTTGGGAGCCCAAGAGGGGAGTCTTCCCCTTGGCTTCTCTCCTTGGTTTGGGGGTAACTGACAGCCAGTGCCCTGCAGCTCCAGTTGTCTGGATTATTGCATTTCCTAACACTGGTCTCGTACCTGCCCAAGCAGGCCATGACTTAGCAGCTGATGCACAATGCAGCTTTGGGGTAATTCTTTCTCTGTTCCTTTACTCTCTAATAAAGAACCACAATCAGGTAACATCTCTATTTTCATCATACTTATTCTTGTTGCAGATAATTGCTGTTAGCTTCTTAAGCTGATTCCTGTAAAGTTTATTTGTAAGAAAATAAAAATAGTGAATAAGGTGGTGTATAGAACAGTCCCAAAGGGAAAAATGACTAAATTCAGAAGCACAATGTAGACAGGCAACTTAATGGGGACTGGACTCACAATAAGAGGCATTTCTATGAGCATTTTATAGAAATATTTTTTATCATAAAATAAGCAATTAAAGTAGAGATTGAGAAACATACAGCAACTTAGTAAATCATTATTTTCAAAAGGAGAGCTCATGACTTAACACAGTGTTCTCAAAGTGTGGTTCCTGGTCTAGCAGCAACAGCATCATCTGGGAACTTACCAGAAATGCAAATTCTTGGGATCCACCTCGGGCACACTGAGTCAAAATTTCTAGGGGTGGGTCCCAGAAATCTGTGTTTGAATACACTTCTCCAGGGGATTCTGATGCACACTCACGTTTGAGAACCACAACATAATGTATTGTTTGTATTTTTTTTTCTAATTGTACACTCTGACATGTATTGCTGGTCACCTTCTAGGAAGCCAAAGAATATGACTGCAGGCATGGGCATTGTAGACAAACTTAATGCATCTGTTTTCTATTGCTATATAACAAATTACCACCAACTTAGTGGCTTAGAATAACACATATTCATGATCACATGGTGCTGTAGGTCAGAAGGCTGGGGGAGGCTCAGCTCTTCTCCCTGTTAGTGTCTCCCACGCAAGGTGTCAGGGGCAGGCTGAACTCCATCTGCAGGCTCTGGGGAGGAATCTGCCTCCCAGCTCATCTGGGGCATTTACAGAATCCCAGTCCTTGTGGCTGTGGGACTGAGACCCCCATTTTCTTGCTGGTTGGAGGCTGGGAGTACAGAAACAAGGTCATGCCCATAATAAAAGGAGTTAGAATTCATTTCCAGATTATAATCCAGGTAATAGACATTATCTCCAGGACAAGGGTGAAATGCACATGCTATTCTGGGAAGATACTAGGAGAACTATTAACTGAGCACATTTCTGGATTTTTGTTTGGTTTTCTTTACTAGTTTTTACCTTGGAAAATACTGACAGCATTTCTGAAGATACGAGATCCAAAGCCTGATGGGGCTGGCAAACAGTCAGAAAAGTCTAGGGCAGCATTTCCTAAGGTGACGCCTATAAACACTACTCCCATGAGGCCTCCAAAAACATGAGTGGAGACCATCATACATTAGTATAATGTCTCGGATAGCCCTTCTGAATGCAGACATTCCAATACATTGACATTTTAAGGTTCTGACAAATCCTGTAGCAAAGAAATCTTTTTGCCTAAGCTGAGATTGGGTCTACATGTATTTCCTTGGGAGCCCCTCTTGCTGTGCAGTATTGGAAATACTGCTCATGAGTGTGGCAGTGATAACTGTAAAGCCAGAAGCAGGCTCTGGGAGAAAAGCCGGGGGTCAGACTCCTGCTCACTTACAGGCAGTGAGAAGAGTTTGTCTTTGGCCTCCTTCCCTCTGTCCAATGCTCCTCCCCCACCACTCTTTCTTCACTTATTTGCTTTCCTCTGCCAACCTGAAACCTACAGAAAGCAAAGTTGGGCTGGGCCTGTTTATGCATCTTCCCAGGTTTTCCTGGCTCTGCATGCCCCTGGCCTCGGCAACTTGCTATGTGGGTGCTCGGGCAGTTGCCACCAAAGTCTGTGTCCTGACCTGTCAGCTGTCTATCTTCCCCAGAGGTAAGAGCTGGGCCTGGGCATGGCTGCCTTGATGCCATGCGCATGAGTCACAGCAGCTGCAGTGCCAGGTTGTACCCTGCTGGAGGAGGACTCCTCCTGCAGTGCTTGGAGCAGGGATCTGGCTGTCCTGGTGGCTGCATGACAGTGAGGTGGCCAAGCGGCCTGGGAAGTGTGCAGTGTGACCATCAAGATGAGAAATAGGAAGGAGCCAGGAGGTCCATTCCAGATGCATTACTCTCTCCATCCTCTCCACAGATTCCAGTCCCATAAGAGGCTCCAAAGCAACAGCAATAATGACACCATGCCTTGGGGTAAGTGCTGTGCATGCCTGCCGACCTCTGCCCTTCTTGGAGAGCAGGTGCCCTGGCTCTGCCAGCCCTTGGAAGATGTCTGTGCTGCTGGTGGCAGCAGCTGCTCTATGCATGGGATCTGGAGGGCTCTGTGGGGACCCACATGTGTCCACTTTCCTGCCCACTCTGCCCCACTCCCCTTCCCTCACTCTGCCCGCCTGGGCCTATACTTCCCCTTCCCACAGCAACCTAGCAGAAGCTTTGCTTCTCCATGTGTTTTCTGAGAAATCCAGGCTATGAAAAGATATAGGGAAACTTTATAAGATTTTCTCAGAATAAGGACAAAAGACTTAAAGATAATCTCACTCAAAGAGATACCCTAAAAACCAAGAACTGCACTTGAAGAATGCAATTGGGGACAAAGTCACAAATACCCTGCAGTGCCACAACCTTTCCTCTTCAAATATTTCCTTCTATTTCCCCTTCCTTCACCTAACCATGAAGGGGAAAGGGCAGACTTCAGAAAACAGAAAAGACAGGCTGGAAAACAGAGAGTGAGATATATGGGCAGAAGTATAAGGAGCTGGAGGCGAAAGCAAAAGCCCCAAAGGCAGCAAGACCCCAAGAGGCTCCTTCATGTGCACAGGTGCACAGGCAGAAGGTGCCCGTGCTCAAGGTGCTCAAGGTGCACCCTGCTCTGCAGAAGGTGCAGGTGGAAAAAGCCACACCACTGACAGTCCACATTCATCTCCAGGGGCCTGGATTCAAACAGTTGAGAGACACTGCTATGCACAATAACAAAATAAGACATAAGAAATAGACCTTGGCTTCCAATTCCTAAAGGTCACTGAGTCACAGATTTATGGATTCCTCTCTCTCCCCATTCCAATTGAAAGGACCCAACCAATACATTAACACAAATTCCAAGCCACAGATAGAAACTAGAGAATGGTCATGCCCACAGACTCAATACTTGGGGAAGTTTTGACAGAGAGCAGAGCAGGCAGGAGCCATGTCATCTGTCCCAGGCAAGAGAGCCTGCGAGGGAGGTAAGCAAGGATTTATGGATCCATTTTTCTGTTCCCCTTCACTAACAGCTCCTGCGTCGGCTGGAAGGCAGAGGAAGGCTGCAGGGAGGATTCTGGGGTCCAGTTGTGCAGGAGCCCATGGGTCCAGCTGCGCACAGTAGGGCCGAGGAAGCTTGGTCCTGGGTGCAGGTGTGTGTTGAGGGACTGGAGGCCACGGGGCAGACAGTACAGAGGTCAGAGGGGCTGAGCACCTGAAGGGAGGGCTTACCTCCTTCCCTAACTGTCTTGTTCAGCCCCATCAAACTCTCACAAGGAAAAGTGGCCAGAGCTCCTGAACCCTTGGATATCTCCCCCTGAGCCCCACCAACCAGAAAAAATACAGTAACTGGGAAGTGAAAGAATTGAACAAGGCACTGTGTCTCCCATGACAGAACGCAGGGCACCTGCTACACCGAACAACTCTGTCCATCTACAGATATGAAGAGAAGATGCTGGCCAGGCAGGGCAGCAGGGCTCAGCACAATTCTTCAGAAGAGCAGAACTGGAGAAAATGATTCCATGCACAACAGTACACAAGAAACAAGAAGTAACTAAAAACCTGAATTCATGCTTTCAGTGAGACACAAGAGTCTGCTGCATTGACAAAATGAGAGCAATTAATCATGAAAAAGGAGCATCCTGCAAAAAGGAATCATTGGAGATGAAAATTATAACTGCTGAACTTAAGAACACTGGGAGGCAGGGAGCTGCCCACTGGCAGCCAGAGGAGAGTGAGCAGGACCCGGAGCGCTGGTTTGATAAATGCACCAGGAACCTGAGAGCATAAGCCACAGAGGAGGAGACTGTGAGACAAGAAGAGGAGCCCAGAGAAAGCCCACTGTGCGGAGCCTGCTTTCCCTGCATGGGAAAGAGGTGAGTGGAGACATGATGAGGCACACAGATAAAGTCCATCATGTGGAGATGGCTTCCCCTGGGTGGGAAGGAGGGGAGCGGAGTCACAATGAGGCCCACAGAGAAATTCTGAGGGTGGAAGGAAGGTGGGAGTCGAGCAGCAGGTCATGGAGGGAGCACTTAGATCTCCTTCCCACCCAGCCTCCCAGACCCCTGGGGCTGCCTGGAGGAACCGGAGATCTGGGGATCTGGATGCTCCTCTTAAAGCTTGCACGATTCTCTTGTGTTCAGCCCCACTGGCTCCCCTGGCTTAGAAACACCTGAGTCTTTCCTGGTCTCTAAGGTGTGAGTTGCCCCTCCCTGAATGCTCCTGTCTCCCGCCTTCCTCACCCTTAGTGTGAGATTCCAGTTTCTCTGCTGAACTAAGTCAATTATTGTCTATATTTATTGATTTGGACTGATATCCACATTCTGAGTAAAAATTAAAATCAGATTATAAAACTGGGCATATGATTCCATTGGTGTAAAACACCCCGAATTTATGTATATACAATCATCCTCAGGAGATGACCATAATCTGGTGATTCATTCTAGGACCCTCCTTGGATACCAAAATCCACAGATGTTTAAGTCCCTGATATAAAATGATATAGTATTTGAGCCAGGCGTGGTGGCTCACTTTGGGAGGCCGAGGTGGGCAGATCACACAGGGTCAGGAGTTTGAGATCAGCCTAGCCAACATGGGAAAACCCCGTCTCTACTAAAAATACAAGAATTAGCTGGTCCTGGTGGTGTGCGCCTGTAATCCCAGCTATTCAGGAGGCTGAGGCAGGAGAATTGCTTGAACACAGGAGGCAGATGTTGTAGTAAGCTGAGATGGCACCACTGCACTCCAGCCTGGGTGACAGAGTGAGACTCCATCCCCCCCACCAAAACTGATGTAGTATTTGCATATAACCTATGAATATCCTTCCATACACTTTAAATTATTTCTAGATTATTTACAATACCTAATACAACATAGCTATGTAAATAGTTGTTATACTGTATTGGTTTTTATTTATATATTTTTTTTTGCTTTTTAAAACATATATTCTATCCATGGTTGGATAAATCTGTGGATGCAGACCCCATGGATAAGGAGGGCAGACTGGACACTGAAATGTCAGAAGAGGACACCTATTAAACTGACCTAAAGTTCTGAGTGGTTGGTGATTGGTGAGTTTGTTTTCACATTTGCGTTTTATCCATTTCTTTTTGTATTGATTGTGTTTTATTTTTATGTAGTTAAAAAATATATAAAACTATATTCACTTTGGAAAAAAAAAGAAATTCTATGTATAGAATGTGAAGTCACACATTAGGAGGGTGGGGAAGGAGTTTTCATTGAGGGAAATAAAGTGTAGTGAGCATAGCAAGAGGAAAGCGGGAAGGGCCCCCCAGGGTCAGATGCAATATCTATCGGAGGCTGATTTGGGGTGCAGTGGAGTGGGGTGCTCTTTCTGACAATTACATTTGAAGTAGTTGTTAGTGGAAATTGGGGTGAGTTGGAGTGGGGTGGGCAGACTGCCTTTAAAAGTCTTTCAAATGATATTTAGTTTCACTTGAAACTTAGGAAATAATTTAAAATGTGAAAACACTGAGGTTAACCAAGAACCTCTCTCTAAGTACAGTTAATTCTATAATGCCTAAGGAAAGTTCACTCGAACTGCTGACAAATCCAGTTGTGGTAAATGAGTGTTCCTGGCATAGTGCAGCCCTAATTCACTGCCATTCCCTCATGTCCTGAAGCCTAATGCACAGGCAGAGCTTGGATTTTGTGTGCTGGACTCCTTGATAGTGTTTTTTGTGGGTATTTTTTTCTTTCTATTCTTAAGATTGGGCCATTTTTAAAAATCTATTGTCAATTTCACTTATTCTTGCTTCTGCCATCTCCAATATGCTATTGAGACTGTTTAGCAAGTTTGTTATTTCAATTATTGTACTTGTTCAGCTCTGGAATTTCCATTTTTTTAATAATGTAATTTCTCTGTTGAGATTCCCTATCTACTCATTCATTAAGACAATTTTTCCTTTAATTCTTTTAATGCCCTTTGGTTGAGCATATCTACAATAGGTGCTTTGAAGTCTTTGACTACTAAATTCAACATGGAGGCCTATTTAGAGTCAGTTTTGGGTGACTGACAATTTCCATAATCTCCCAGCCCCAGGCATTATCACATTCCTGGTTTCCTTGCATGTCTTACTAGCTTGATATATCAGAGGACAGGGCCTAAAGCTAGTAGATAATAGTCACTGCAGCCTTTCTGAGTTCTATTGTGCTCTCCTGGTGATCATTGGCTTATTGTTCTGGTAAGAAGTTAGCTGACCTGGACTCAAACTACAAGCTCTGCTCTCCTGTGATATGCAGCAACTGACAAATCCCTAAATTTTTCAGCTTCTGCAGTTGCTTTGTTTCAGGCTGGCCTACTGAAGTCTCCCTTATGTTTGCATAAGTTGGTGGTCAGCCAAGTATTTGGAAAGAGTTTATATTCAGATTTTGGGGTTCATCCTATCTGTGGTTCTCCCATTTCTAGGGAAACTTGCCCTCCTAATTTCCAGCTGGTGTGCCAGTTTTAGGCTCTGTTCTCTTACATCTTTAGCCAGCAGGGCCTCAGCTTCCTATCACCCAACGTGCACATGGATTCAGGAAATGTACTCAGTTAATAAGTGAATAAATGGATCTGCATTTTTATTTCTTTTTCTAAGACAAGTCATACTGGATGAAATTGGGAATCAGCATGCTTTGGCTCTTGTAATATAATACAATACCTACAAGATAATATTGCCTGCTTTCACATTTAAAAATTATAGGAAATGTGCTTTCAGACTACAAAATAATTCTAAAATAAATGATTTATTTTATTAAGAAGACTAAATAATTCCTACCATTATACATATGTCCTTTAGAATTTTTAACTTAAAAAATTTTCTCCATTCCACTGGACTCACTAGAAATATAACTAAATGAAGTGTTATTGTCACCACATGTGATGCTGGAATCTCAGAGGTAGGACAGTTATAGTAGTCTCTTTGATCCCAACCCCAACACATCACCCTAAGTAGGTTTTCAGTTCCACTTTCCATTGGTAGAAAAATCATGGCTGAAAATAGACATCATAATAATCTCTTTGCTAATAAAAGGCCTCTATTATTCCTCTTCATAGTTGTAAAATAAATCATTTATGAAAATAAAATCAACGAGTTTACATTCCACTTCTTTCTTAGGCCTAATTAAGTGTGTGTCTCAATTTATGTGTTAAACCTTGAAGATATTGTAGTATAACTTTTAACTATTAGTGTTTAAACAATATATTCATATACTTTCCCTTTAGAACAGTGTTAATTAGAGTTGTGCACAGTGTCCAACTCACACTTTTCCCAGTATTCTCAGTTCCAGAGACAACAGTCAGCCTTGAATACTGGAGAGGAGTCAGCTTCTGTTTTACCTTACTCCATGATATCAGCCATAACTCCTATTTGAAGTTCAAGTTTCAGAATGCATGCTTCCAAAAATGTGTCTGCTGATATGCTTTTGAAAAGTGTTACATCAATGTACAGATAAAAGACCTTCAGGCACTGTCTTTATAAGATACTACTAAAGTAATAATCCACCATAGAATAAGAACAGCTCCTACATGTGGTATTAGGAAGGAATGCCTCTTTTTGTTTTTTTGCCTTGGAAATGAGATTATCCCTGCTTTGATTAAAACCTTCAGTAGCTCCCCACTTTTACAGAATAAAGTTTGGGCTTTTTGTATTTATTCCAAGGCCTTTCTCATTGTGTCCTGGCACATTTTTCAAATCCTGTCACCTTCTCGGCTGCACTGGCATATTCACCAATATTTGAATTATGTTTACCTTTCTGAGCTTCCAGCTGTTCTCTATCAGAGCCTTAGCAGATATCTGGTTCAGTTCGCTCTAGAAGCTGAACACCTCAATTGTGACCACATATCTTGAATTTTCTAGAAAAGTCCCAATGCCGTTGTATTTTTAATCTCTAAAATGAACTTGGCACTTCTCAGTCTATGTGTCCCTGTTTTTTGGTTCAGAAACTATGATTTACTACGTTATCATTCTATGTCATCAGATTAAAAAGCTGATTAAAAAACAAATAATTTTAAAAAGATTATTGCACATAACTTAATTTTTTGAAAATTTAAATAGCATAGTGACTCTATAGAAATTAGAAGAAAACAACAGAAATCATTATCATCACTTGCATTTCCACACTGATATGCATATTTTTCTAGACCTTTGTCTATGTATTTATGCCTATGTATATGTTTTATAAAGATAAAGTTATGTTCTCTTAGTATTTTAGTTGAGTGGCATATGATTTGTGAGTCTGTGAATCTTTTATATCATCATCATAAAAGGTTGCATTTAGTACATTGTATATATGATCATAATTCTCAAACCAATCTTTTATTTTGGAAAAGAGATTACATGCCTTTACTTTTCATTATTGTTACAGAAACACATTGAAAACCTGTTTTCAAAAAAGGGATACTAAACCTATAAGAATTTTAAACTATAGTCAAGTCATAGGAAGAAAAATAAATGCACTGGGTATAAAAATTAAATTATAATTTCAGTTTATTATTCCAGTTGTTTTATAAACCTCACATTCCAACTTATTCTAAAACAAGTTTTTAAAATATTATGTAACATAATTTGGTAATTTCTGTAGATTACAGATTCTTTTGTGAAATGTCTAACAGACCTTCTAAAATAAATACACTTGAGTATATTCTATAAATATCCATTATTTTCTCCACAAAGTTTTTAGCCTCATTATGTGAAAAATATGACACAGGATCTGTCTAGATAAGCCTCAGTTTAATTATAGTGATTACAACTTCTTCATATAATTGATTTTGTATACCTTATATGACAATAATCCTCTGAAATAATTAGGAGTTTTAAGGACTTTAGAAGAGTGTGATAAAGACATAAAAATGACTCAACACTTTTGAAAGAAGCCTGTCCAGATTCAATGATGGGAGAAATAAAATCTGGTGACATAGTCAGCATATATATTTCAGATGTATTGATCTTCATGTGACTTGTGAGCACAGGTAAGAAATGAAATACAAATCAGAAAAACATGGCAAGAACAGAGCATGAGTCATAGCTCCTTGCTTTCTGATGACTCTAACTGCAATAATCCATGGTGACTGGTTTGTATTTGGAATTACACAACAATTAGCCAAAAATGGGCCAAGTGTTTAATAATGGTAAGTACTAAAAAGCAAAACTAAACACACAGGATAATAATAATGCAGATTTTCACTGACTTTTATGGTTCTTTGATTTGGAAAAAGGAAGGTACTAAATTAACCCATCAGGAAGAAAGAGACTTTGGGACTTCACTGTTGCAAAAAGTAGTTCTATCACATTTAGTTGGCATTTTGAAAAGAGTGTCAGAGGATATTCTTTTGCTACTAGAAATTTTCCTCAAATACAGAGAAAGTGATATTGGGCAGCTTTGTGCATTCTAAGACCCCATGTAAGGAGCAGGAGCAGTGCCACAGCCATCATGATGTAGACAGGGTATCAAGGGAGAGCAAAACAGATAGAGGAAAAGCATTAAAAAGTACATTTTTTAAAAACCTCAGAATGAGTTTCACTATCCCTTTCAAGGAAAGGAAAAATAGGGACAACTCTCCCTCCTTGCCTTGATGTGAGGGCATGATGCTGAGTTCTGTGTAATTGTTGGGGCTGCTTCCAGGACTTCTAGACTCCAATCTCTTTTGGCAATCTGCCGCCATAAAATGTCAAGGATTGCCTGATCTACAGACGGTCCCCAACTTAGGATGGTTCAACTTGGCGATTTTCGACTTAATAATGGTGTGAAAGTGATATGCACTTAGTAGAAATGTACTTTGTTTTTTAATTTTGATCTTTTTCCAGGCTAGTCATATATGCTGGGAAGTGGCAGTGAGCCACAACTCCCAGTCAGTGATGCGATCACAAGGGGAAACAACTGATACTATATCCAATAAATTACATGAGCTATTTAACCCTTTATTACAAAATAGGCTTTGTGTTAGATAATTTTGCCCGACTGCAGGCTAGTGTAAGCATTCTGAGCAATTTAAAGTAGGCTGGGCTAAGCTATGATGTCTGGTAGATTAGGTATATTAAATGCATTTTTCAACTTATGATATTTTCAATTTAACAATGGGTGTATCTGGATGTGATCCCATCCTAAGTCGAGGAGCCTCTATATATTACTGTCCACCAGACATTCCACGAAAAGAAATTCTAAGGTGGAGGATAAGGGCCACCATATCTGATTAGATTTTAATTTCCGTCTTTCAACATTATGGTAGCCCTTTTTCTCCACTTGGAAAGCACAGTTGCCAAAGATTTTCAAAATCTCGTCAGAACATGCAGTAACACGTGTACCTTTTAAAGCTTGCCAAAGCCTACATTTTCTAATAAGAACACCCTCTTATGACATAGACAGCTGACCTGATGAAACACCAGCACCAGTGCCATATGAAAATCCACCTTTCCAGAATATGAAAACTAGCCTACAGAATTTAAATATTTAGTATTTTCCCAGTTTAATGTGTATCTTTTTTAAACTTCTAAATATCATTGACTTTTATACAAATATTAGAAAGCTATATTCTAATTCTACTACCATATTTTTGAGCTCAACATATTATTCTAGAATCTTCACAGCCTCAGTTTTGTTCACACATAAAATTAGGGAACACAAATCAAACAATCTTGAAGGCTGGGGCTTTCTTGTTCTGATATT
The DNA here is from genome assembly GCF_000001405.40 of Homo sapiens. NCBI lineage: Eukaryota > Metazoa > Chordata > Mammalia > Primates > Hominidae > Homo > Homo sapiens. The sequence continues at coordinate 160,378,057 of NC_000006.12, read as the reverse complement.
TTCTGATTCTGTGAATGTTGAAGGAGTGTTAAATACAAACACCAGGTTACTCATATCACTGAGAGGATTACCATTAGATTAGGAGAAAAACATACAATGAAAAGGTTTACAGGAGGAACATAACACTAAATAAACCAATTTCACAAAGCAAAAGCTACTGTTAGAATGAGTGAACAAATTTCCACAGGTTAAAAATAGTGAACTGATTCAAAGAAACAAAAATCTTTGAGCCAAACCTACGTTTGCTTAGCAGCCTCTGCAGAGGGCCCCTCTTCCTCTTGTGTCTTGCATCCACTTTTACTTTGTGTTTTGTTCTTTTGGTGGATTGTGTTTGAGAGCAAGAGTAAGTGAGACTTGACCACAGAATTATTTTCATAACATTTCCAGTTGATTGGAATCAGGAAAAGAGACTCGAGAAAACTCTTAATAATCTTAGGAGAGTTTTGGCAAGGTTTTCTGGGCAAAGAGCTTCAAGGAAGTCCACTCCAGCCTTAAGACAATAGGATTATTGACTGAAGTCAACCTGGAGATGGAAGCTTTGCAAACGTTTCCCTGTTTTTCTTTCTTTTTTTTTTTTTGAAATAGAGTCTCACTCTATCAGCTGGAGTGTGTTGGCATGATCTCAGCCCACTGCAACCTCCACCTTCTGGGTTCAAGCAATTCTCCTGCCTCAGCCTCCTGAGTAGCTGGGACTATAGGTGCATATCACCACACCCAGCTAATTTTCGTATTTTTAGTAGAGATGGGGTTTCACTATATTGGCCAGGCTGGTCTCGAACTCCTGACCTCAAGTGATCCACCTGCCTCAGCCTCCCAGAGTGCTGGAATTACAGGTGTGAGCCACCACGCCAGCCCACATTTCCCTGTTTCAACTGGAGAGTTTATAATTATTTGACAAAGGCTGCAGACCAAACTTTGTTATCAAGCTCTGAAGAGCTCTGCCCATGGAAAGATCTTGTTTCTAGTCTCCCCGCCCCTACACCAACAGCATCTTTCCCAAATTCTTTAGCATACCAAAAGCTGTCCTTGCCAGGTGTTGGATGTGATGGAGTGAGAGAACAGGCCTATCCCACAACTGGGGTGCATGTTGATTCTGCCAGCTTCAGGACAAAATTAACTTCTCACCCAGGATTGCCATTCTAATTTGTCATGGGACCTGAGGTCACATTAATAATAGTTGTGCAAAGTCCCAAATTGATAACATTTACTTCTTAATACATTTTATAAATAATTGTTTTCATTTGGTTACTTGGAGTTATTAAAACAAAAAATATATATACAGGGACTTCATGGTGACCCAGCTTTAAGGCCTCACAGAGCTAAAAGGAGGTGCCTCTCTGGGCTGGCTCCCTGAACATACTTTAACAGAACAAGTAGCATAGAGCGATGCAGCAGCCTTCAACAATTGAGCAATTTTTATTCTACACATCCAGGTGTTCAGGTGAATAAATACACAGGTAGATGCCTAATCACAAGTACCATGGCATGCTTCAACTCTAAAATCTAGTGGCTAAAATTCACTTAAAAAAAAATTTTAGTTTAGTTTAAGTTCTGGGATACATGTGCAGGTTTGTTACATAGGTATACGTGTGCCATGGTGGTTAGCTGCACCTATCAACCCATGATCTATATTTTAAGACCCACGAGCATTAGCTCTTTGTCCTGGTGTTCGCCCTCCCCTCACCCCTCTCCGCACCACCCCCCTGCCCCCACGCCAACCAGGCCCCGGTGTGTGTTGTTCCCCTGCCTGAGTCCATGTGTTCTCATTGTTCAACTCCCACTTATGAGTGAGAACATGTGGTGTTTGGTTTTCTGTTCCTGTGTTAGTTTGCTGAGGATGATGGCCTCTAGCTTCATCCATATCCCTGCAAAGGACATGATCTCGTTCCTTTTTATGGCTGCATAGTATTCTATGGTATATATGTACCACATTTTCTTTATCACTGATGGGCATTTGGGTTGGTTCCATGTCTTTGCTATTGTAAAATTCACTTTTTTTGAGACTTCACATTACCTTTCTGTGAGCCAGGCTTTAGATTAGTTTCTCTACATCTCATTAAGTCCTCCCAACAATACTGTGAGGTAGACATGATTATTATCCTCATTCTACAGGTGAGAAACCCAAGACTTAGAGGGTTTAAAAACCTAGTCAGAGGTTCCAAGCTAGTTAGCAGGTGGAAGCCTAAACTCAGACCTCTGACTCCTGGGTCCATACCTCTCAACCCCGAGAACAGCCATGAACAAAGAAATGCAATTTTTTTCAAATTGCTGAAATATGCGTTCTTGATTTAAGCAGGCTCAAGAGATCATTCTTAAAACACTTGTACTTAGGTAAATATACAGTGCAGGAAATATGCAAGACTTTCAGAATTTAAAAAAACTTGTCACTGTTCTTTCAATAAACAAGACTTTATTCCTTTCTTAAGTGAGCTACTTTCATCATATTTTTGCCAATTGAATATTGTCCCACACTTGCTCTGCATAAGCACTTTCTGAAACTGGTATAAAAAAGTTGGTATCTTACCAGTCTGGTTTTTATTTCCCTCTACACACCACTTTGGCAGTTTATATTGCTTAGAACCCATTGCTTGGGGGTGGAGGGTGGTGGGGGGGCTAGGAAATGTGTAAGCTTTTGATTACAAGAGTTATGCATCTTGATCTTAAAATTATGTTTGCTTTGCAAAGAAGAGAAGGTTCTGGAATAGAGTGTCTCCTTGGCAGTTTATATGTCTTTATCTTGGCTCAGACTTAGGCCAGACAACAAGCAAGCTGCCCACTGCTAAGACTGCATCTATTCTGTGAAAGCCTGTGGGGCATTTCAGGAAGGCAAGGGTCCTGGTTGTGTGCATGGAGGTGAAATCTGGCTTTTCATGAGCCTGATTCCTTCCATTTCTTTCAGGAAAAAGAGGAGCAAAGCCATCAAATTTCCAGATCTGGCTTGCAAAATTTCTGGAAAGACATGCTGCTACCAAGGTTTTGGGTGAGCATGTGGTCATTTCTGCCTTGCCAACTTCACTTTCCCCATTAGGACGGAAGTGGTTGTCAGCCTTCTATGCGAGTTGGACAGCACAGTCTGCACGTGCTCTTGCTCTGTCTCTGTGGAGTGCACCTGGGCAGCAGAGATACCCCAGCCTCTGGCACTGCACTTGCCTTACAAGTTGAAGGTAGAGACAAGACACACATTCATTTCTTTTAAAAACATCATGCTAAGTCCAGAGGTTGGCACCCTTCCCTGGAGAGGCCTGAACGCCCTGCCCTCCCACTGCCAAGTCTTTCTTTTCTCTTTCCTGTGGCCCTTCTTGATCCAGGTCTGCTCTAACTGGAAAGCCAGGTCCCCAGAGATGAGCCCTGTGGTGCTGAGGAGGTGGGAGTCAAGGGAAATGCCCCCCATCTCCAAAGCCAGGGGCCTCTCCACACACGCTGGGTAATTTTGGGACAGCAGGGATGATGTCTGTCTCACAAGACATTGCCACTTTAAAGTATTCAAGATCCTGTATTTTCTACAACCTTAGTGAGGCATGAGCATATGAAGCCAGTGAAAAAACAGTTCATTCATTCATTTATTCATTCATCCATTCAAAAGACTTTCACAGGTGGCAAGATGGCTGAATAGGAACAGCTCTGGTCTGCAGCTCCCGGCGAGGTGGATGCAGAAGGTGGGTGATTTCTGCATTTCCAACTGAGGCACCAGCTCATCTCACTGGGACTAGTTAGACAGTGGGTGCAGCCCACAGAGGGTGAGCTGAAGCAGGGTGGGACATTGCCTCACCCAGGAAGTGCAAGGGGTTGAGGAACTCCCTCCCCTAGCCAAGAGAAGCCTTGAGAAACCATCCTGTGAGGAACCATGCATTCTGGCCCAGATACTACACTTTTCCCATGGTCTTCACAACGTGCAGATCAGGAGATTCCCTCGGGTGCCTATACCACCAGGACCCTGGGTTTCAAGCACAAAACTGGGCAGCCATTTGGGCAGACACTGAGCTAGCTGCAGGAGTTTTTTTCATACCCCAGTGGTGCTTCAAATTCCAGCAAAACAGAACTGTTCTCTCCCCTGGAAAGGGGGCTGAAGCCAGGGAGCCAAGTGGTTTAACTCAGTGAATCCCACCCCTATGGAGCCCAGCAAGCTAAGATCCACTGGCTTGAAAATCTTGCTGCCGGCACAGCAGTCTGAAATCGACCTGGGACACTCGAGCTTGGTGGGGGAGGGGTGTCCATCATTACTGAGGCTTGAGTAGGT